>NC_000012.12:45490431-45641946 GCF_000001405.40 Homo sapiens
TAGGAGCAATAGGCTTATACATACCATCTAACCTAGGTGTACAGTAGGCTATCCCATCTAGGTCTGTGTAAAGACACTCTATGATGTTCACATGATGACAAAATCACCTAAAAACACATTTCTCAAAACACAACCCATCGTTAAGCAAACACGTGACTGTATTAAACAGTGATCCAGAAGAGTGAATTTACCTCGAGCTCAGCTCTTTAAGTCTTTGAAAAGCACACTTAAATTCTATTCATAGCCACTAGGGCTCAGTCTCTTCTTTAAAATGTGAAATTAATGTATTTTTGAAAACAAAAGAATCACAAAACTTATTCTAAGTTGGTGCTGAATAAAAAGGAGACTGTCTTTGTGATAGTCTGTGGTCTTATTTAAAACAAAATTCCAAGAAAAATTGTGAAAAATGAGACAGGGGCCTCATGAAGACACTTATTTCCCTTCCTCCTGGCATGATTGAGGGGAATTTTGTTTATGATATAATAAGAAAGGAATATTATTCCTAGAGATGGATTTAAATTTTTAGTCATTATTTGAATTTATTCTCCTAGAATGTCTTCCTGTATTGTGATGGGTGAACTCACTGGGAAGAACTGAGTAGCACTGAGCCCCTGTTGTACTTCTGCAAGCAAACTGAGGCACGGAGTTTGGGGCTGTGCATATGGATGGCTAGCAACCTGTTTCCTTACTGGTGGGCAGCCTTTCAACATTGAACTTCCTATTTTTAGATTTCTAAGGGACTTTAAAGTAAACACAACTCATAGAGTATGCTTTATTAGGTCTTCAAACACTTTTGCTGCCCAGTGGAAACCTTTTGGTTCTACAGGGAATCTCTCATGTTGGCAGCCTTAAAGGTTGGTCACGTCTATCAATAGTACTGACAACTTTGTTCTGTAAATACCTGCTTTCTCCTGAAGCAGCATTTTAGGGAGAAGTTATTATGCTCCTCTTTTCATATTCTTCCTTTGACCCTAAGAGAAGGCAATGTACTTTCTCTGTCAGAGGGCAGTGCCAAAGAGGGAATGCCTACCCCTCAAACCCCTGATTTCTCCTCCCCATGGGAAGAGGTCTGGCTGGTCAGAAAGGACATTTACCAGGCCACCCTCTCTATCAGTGGATCTGGCAGGCTGAGCACCACTAAACCCTGATGAATGGGCTCTCGCTCTCACAGCAACAGGGTGACTTCTCTGATCTCTCATAGTGAGCAGGGCCTGCCCCTGCCAGAGCTGCCAGGACTATATTTTCCTCCCCGATATGTGCTCAACCAGGGATGTGCTCCCGGGCCTACTGTCTTCCACTGGGATGGGTGGTAAGAGGCCCCAGCCAACAAAGTGGTCATTACCAGAAAGCCCTAGTGTCAGTCCATCTTCTGTCTATTTTATCAACCCGCGTCAGATATGAGGGAAGTAAAGGGTACATGCACAAAATCTCATCCCAAACTCCCCCAAAAGAATCAAAACATGCCCCAAATACTCATATTGCCTTCACATGTGTAAAGAGTTCCACTATGCCGGACTTTGCCCAATTAAGGCATTATGCATAGAGATTCACACGAAAAACTATTAGGGCTTGTTTCTAACACAGTGGATGCCTTCCTTTCCCGGGCTGATGAGAGTAAGTGAATGTCTCTTCTTTAGTTTTCCTTCAGAGAGGAGGATAAACTTACTGATGTGTATATAATTCTAAGATTTTGAAGAATAATTGCATGAGAAAAGACTTTCAAAGGAAGGATTTGTTTGTTTACTTTATCCCTTCATCTGCTTACAGGATAACAATCTCTGTTTATGACAGAGAGCTGTAGTGATCCTCAGTTAGGGTTGCCAGATGAAGGGGAGGGGGAAGAGAAACAAACTAAGATGACCAGCTAAATTTGAATTTCATATAAAAACAATTTTTAGTATAAGTATATTCCATGCAATATTTGGTGGAACATACTTATTCTGTGGGAAACACTCAAAGTAAAAATATTTGCATTTATCTGAAATTCAGATATAACCTTGTATTTCATTTTCTAAGATTGCATATAGGTAACTCTATCTGTAGTAGAAGATATTCATCATAAAAGCCAAAGGTTTTTCAAAAGCCCAGATGTTTATTAAATATTTTCTTTATCACTGGGCAATCAGTAATATTTTTTCCTTCTTTTCTTCCTTTCCTTAACAAATATTTAGTAAGCATCTACCACATGTCAGACACTGTTTTATATGCTGGAATAATGAGCAAGTCAAAAAATAAATAAATAATTCCCCAAAGAAGATGAAGAAAAAAACAGACAATGTGATAAAGAATGTCTGGATGCACTGAGCTACCTTAGTGCCAATGTCAGGGGAGCTCTCCCTGAAGAGGTGATATTTTAGCTAACTCCTAAAGGTGCAGATGTAAGGTTTCATAGAAATATACTGTAGGTAGAGGAATCATAAAAATCCTAAGATGATATGATAGTCTCCTGTGGCTGCAGAAACAAATTATCACAAACTTGGTGGTTTAAAACAACAGAAATTCATTCCATCCTAGTTCTGGAGGCCAGAAGTTGGAAATCAAGGTGTTTGCAGGGCCACACTTTCTCCAGAGGCTCTAGGGGAGAATTCATTCCTTGCCTCTCTCAGCTTCTGGTGACACCAGCATTTCTTGGCTAGTGGCCACATCACTCCAATTTTCAAAGCCAGCATTTTCAAATCTTCTCCTCTGTGTGTCCAGCTAGTCTCCCTCTGCCTCTCTCTTACAGGGATACTTGTGATGGCATTTAGGGACCACCAGATAATTCAGGAGGATCTATCTCCCCATCTCAAGATGCTTCATGTCATCACACTGCAAAGACTTTTTTGCCATATAACAGTCACAGGTTCCAGGGATTAGAACATGGATATATTTGCAGGGGAGAAGAGTGGGTTTTTTCAGCCTACCACAGATGGGAAGGAGCTGGACGTGTTCTGCACGTGTGTGTGGCTGCAGCAGCAGGCACCAAGGGAGAAGTGAAGGCCACGAGGGCTGGAGGCGGACAGGGCCAAGGTAAGGAGTCTAGATTTTAGTTTAATGTCAATGGGAAACCAGTGAGATTTCAGACAGGAAGTGGCCTGATTTACAATTTTAAAAGCATTTCTCTGGTCACTGGGCAGGGGCTGGACAGCCATAGGGACAAGAGCAAAAGGAAATAGGAAACTGTTAGGTGGTATGGGCTTCTACCAGCAAAGGGCAGGCTAGAAGTATTGGTAGCTTAGATTCAGGGGGTGTGAGGGGAGGGAGAGACACAAATGGGCAGAAGAGATAGATTTTGGAGATAGAGCCATGAGCACTTGCTGATGGATTAGATAAGGGAGTGAAAAAGGAGAGTATTGTGGAATTCAAGGTTGGAAACCTTTTAATCTTTTAGTCAGACAGATGCACCTGACCACTCATCTTGGATAAGAATGGCTATTTTTTTCAAGCCCTAATGCTGGGCTGTGTGTCCTTCATTTATAATTTGATTTTTATTCATCAGATACAATAAATGCTAAAAAGAAGCCAAATGTTGAGATTTGCTGCAATTAGATAAGACTCTCTAGACTGAGGGAGGGGATTTCACACAAAGTCAAGGAAGGAGTGGGTTCTGCCTTGTCCTACAATGCAGTTTATAAAGTAACCATGCTCTTCAGGAGGGAAATATTCTTTTCCTTCCATTCAAAATTGAGTGTTAACAAAGGCATCACACTTCAGAGCAAGGTTAAAAATAACAAAAGCAGCACTGTTAAAGTGATTGATGATGACTTGATGCACACCTGTTAATACCGTAAACCTCTCACAGCCTGGGTCAGGTTTACTTGGCAGGTAGCATCTTTCATGTCCTGTATTAAGAGTGGCTCAGCAGCCAGGAAATCCTTCTTACACTGATGTTCTCCAGCACATGGTGTTCATCAATAAAGAATGGATGGCAATAAATCAATTGCTATGTTGCAAGTTGGGCACAGATAAGAGTCATGGAGAAAACTCTGTTAGGAAGGTGCAGGAGGTAGGTTCTACTGTGAGTTCTGTCACCCATGACCCATGTAAATTGCTGTGAGTCACGTGACCCCTGGTCCTCAGTTTTCTAGCTGTAAGGGGTAAGAGTCATTGAGAAGATCAAAGGAGATGATGAATTTGCCAGTACTTTGGAAACGATAAAGACCTAACAATCACGTTGTCATTGTTATCTTATACATTTTATTATAGTTGCATCCTCCATAGTGCCTTACACTTAGAATAGGCTCGATAATTTTTTACCAAGTTTAATTAACTAAGTATAACCAACATGGCCAGAAAACAGGCAGTTTTTTTGGCAAGTGCTAATAGATTGATAATTGGAGATTTGTATATGGTTCTCTGATTTATATTTAGATGTCCTTTATCAAGGAAAGAAAATGAGGCTGGGTGGAGTGGCTCATACCTGTAATCCTAATGTTTTGGGAGGCTGAGGTAGGAGGATCACTTGAGGGCAGGAGTTTGAGACTAGGTTGGACAACATAATGAGACCCCGTCTCTACAAAAAAAAACTTTTAAAAATTAGCTGGGTCCAGGCACAGTGGCTCATGCCAATAATCCCAGCACTTTGGGAGGCCAAAGTGGAAGGACTGCTTGAGCCCAGGAGTTCAAGACCAGCCTGGACAACATAGCAAGACCCTATCTCTACAAACAGTTTTAAAAAATTAGCTAGGTGTGGTGGTGCACATCTGTAATATCAGCTACTCAGGAGGCTGAAGTGGGAGGATCACTTGAGCCCAGGAGAGAGAGGCTGCAGTAGGCCGTGCTCATCATCCTCATGGCCACTGTACTCCAACCTGGGTGACAGAGTGAAAGCTTATCTCAAACAATAAATAAATAATAAGCTGGGTGTGGTGACGAGTGTCTATAGTCTTAGCTACTCAGGGAGCTGAGGCTTGAGTATCACTTGAGCCCAGGAGTTCAAGGCTGCAGTGAGCTATGATTGCACGCTACACTCCAGCCTTGATGACAGAGCAAGACTCTATTTCAAAAGGAAAAAAATGGGTGTTGCAGAAGGACACCTCCACCTCCCCTCAGTCTGACACAAAGGATTTTGGCCTAAACCATGCTGTACCAGGGTCATGCAACCTCAAATATGTTACAGACAACTTTATTAAAATAACAGATTATTAACAATGGACACTCACAGCCTCGCATTAGAGCTTGTGATAAATAGTCATTATTTCCAAAAGCAAGTTATTGGGTGCTCTGTCTGACTGAAAGAATGAAATGTTTCATATGGTTCTTGAATATTTTCTTTATGTAAAATAACTTATTATTTGAAGTTCTATCAACTGGATCTGAGGGGATAATTGTGGCCTACTGGATCCAGCCATTAGCCATATCTGTGACTACCCTGAGATCCCATCAGTTTGATGTAGGAGAGAAAATAGTGAAATTTGATGTCCTCTCACACACTGCATTGTCTAAGGACAATGAAACACAAATGATACTTTATAAATGCAATTCGATTTTCTTCACAATCTGTCTCATCAGCTAAGATTGTTTACCAAAAAAGTTAGATTTATAAACTAATATTCTAAAAGATGACGACATCTAAATTCACTAATTCATGAATAAGTTACTTTCCAAATATCACCCAATTTTGTCTAAGAGTTACTGTCACTTTTTTATTCATTTATTTTCAAAAGTCCAACCTCTATCTTCCTTTTTGTTTTTATATGATCTTTCGTTTTGATAGAAAAGATTAAATGTCATACTTAATTTAAAATCAATATTTTCTGAGGTTGTGTTGCAGACAGATCTGGATCTGGACTTGTAGAACAGTATTTAACCATACAGCCTCCCTTCAAATATGCATCTTTGAAAACAATTTATCACAACTGTGGCTATAATAACAGTTCTGTTAGTGTCTATGAATATTATATGTCAAAATCCATCAATTTTGTTAGCCAAGCCAGGATAGAATGTTATTGAAAAACTGATAAAGATATTTGTAATAATTGGAACTGGTAGAAATGGCAAAGCTCTGATTCAGGTTGGTCTTCATGTAATAATATAAAGTAGAGTCATCTTGTCTATTTCCATAATATCAAGGGTAGCTGGACATTATCCAGTGTCCTTTGTACTTATTTTAGGAGCAAGGTAGATCAAGAAGTACAGGAGAAGACTGGTGACCAGCAGCTTTTAAAAAATTCTGTAAAATAGCCTGACTTTAAGGGAAAGTGCCCAGCCTGGTTCACAAACATCACATTCTACTTGATAAACCACTATAGATAAAAATATATCTACATTTGGAATGAAACACGTATTTATCTACATATTCCCAGGCCACCAGAGAAAACCAAAAAGGTCTTCCTGATAGTCACCTGCTATATAAAGAAATATAGCCTTACTTTTACACTTTATATAGTCACCCACTATATAAAGAAATGTAGCCTTACTTTTACACTTTTTATAAGAATTCATGTTGGACAGAAAACTCTTAAGCATTTGCTACAGCTGGCCAGCGCTGTGTGGGGCTCTCACAGAGTGTTTTCTGATAAGTGTGGTATCCACAAAGTCTGAGTCTATAGGTGTGTACACTTGGAGCCATGTCCTTAACCTCACTCATAGATGGGTGTGACTGGAGGACATCATTATCTCTGATCTTATGAGTCAGTTCAGGTGTTCCAGGGGTAGAATGAAAGAGATGTGCTATGGTTTGAATGTTTATGTCCACTCCAAAATTCACAGGTTGAAACCTAATCCCCAATGTGATATGTTGGGCAATGGGACCTTTAAGAGGTAATTAAGTCATGAGGACAGAGCCTTCATGAAGGGATTAATGCAATTATAAATAGGATTCACAGAAGTGAGTGTGTTCTCTTTTTGCCCTTCTGACTTTTTCCATGTGTTGATGCAGCAAGAAGGCCCTTCCAGATTCCAGCACCTTGATTTTGGACTTCCCAGCCTCCAGAACCATGAGCCAATAAATTTCTGTTCATTATAAATTACCCCGGCTCAGGTATTCTGTTACAGAAACACAAATGGACTCAGACAATGTACTTTTCCAAAAGTTCTCCTTTTTCAAAAGCTCAGCCCCTTATTTAAAGCAACATCTTCTCAAGAGTAAACAGCATTTCCCTTACCAATGCTGGGATGCTACTTTTAAACTTCCGTTTGTCTCAAAGATCTTCAAACCCCAGAACTAGCCCACCCACACCTCTCCCAGACAGATTCTCTTCCTCATCTTTAAGTCTTCAATTAGGTAGGGAAGATTCTCCATTAAGCCAGTGCTTCTCAAACAGCAGTGAGCATCCAAATCACCTGGACAGCCAAGATCCCACCATCAGAGATCCTGATTCATTAGGTCTGGACTTGGGCCTGAAAATGTACATTTCCATCAAGCCCACAAATCAGACTTTCAGTAGCAGTCCTTTAAGTCACAGTAAGAGCATGTGAATTGCCAAGCTTTGAATTTCCATGCCCTCAGCCGCTGTTTACTTTGCTACAGCAGGGGAGCCTTTGCTGATCCACAATGATTTTCAACTCTCCTGGGTATTCATCATCTTACTTGCCATGATGCTCCCATTGTTCATCACCCCAATTGAATTTTATAGCTCTATCTGCCACTAATGAATGGAAGTCTTGTTCAAACTTTGAAAATTGTTGTATTAAGCCATACTTGTGTTGCTATAAATGAATACCTGAGACTGGGTAATTTGTAAAGAAAAGAGGTTCTATTGGCTCATAGTTCTGCAGGCTGCACAAGCATGGTGCCAGCATCTTCTTCACTTCTGGAGAGGCCTCAGGGAGCTCATGGCAAAAGGTAAAGCAGGAGCAGGCACATCACATGGCCAGAGCAGGAGCAAGAGCGAGAGGGTGGGGAGGTGTCACACAATTTTAAACAACCAGATCTCATGAGAACTCATTATTATGAGGACAGCACCAAGGCATGAGGAATCTGCGCCCATGACCCAAACACCTCCCACCAGGCGCCACCTCCAGCATTGGGAATTACATTTCAATATAAGAATTGGGCAGGACAAATATCCCAACCACGTCAGTTGGACTCCTGAACTGCCCTAATTTCTCAAGCCCCCCACAGGGCTGTATGAACAGCATTCTCCACCAGTTATATCCCTAGAGGGGCAAATATCCTTTAGCTGCAGCTAGACTCAAGCGTGATCACCTTGCCAAAACTTCCACCTATACCATTATTTCCTGCTTTACCCATAACTTTGGCAGACTGGGCATTGGGCTCCATGACTCCTCCCACCACAATTGGTTGGGTAAGAAGTGAACATTTGACTCAAAGAGAGGGAGATCCACAGAATAATCTGGGCCAATCAGATCTCTTCCTTCTATTTTTGAACAAAGAAACAGAAGAAATTTCAGACACATGTTAGGCAATGATCAAATAGGTTATAGAAATCAGCTGAGGTAGCCATGCTGGTCAATGTGCAAGATAAGTAACAGCAGAAGTAGAGGGAGGTGGTTAGAGAGATGGATTAGATAGTGAGCTCCCAGCGGCCATGAAAATACTAGAATTTGACACATGACCTGCTGTGCCCAGCCTACATATGGTTTTTCTTATAACAACTTAGGGTATTTACAAACTAAGGTACTTAGGATATTCAAAAAATTAGGCAATGGCCCAGTGACATTTATTATAATCATTGCATGCCATCTTTTAAATCTTAGGAATCAAGCAGCCCAGAAACTTTTCTTCTTTATCACAAAGAGGAAGGGAAATACCTGGAAATTTTATAAAAAGTACATTTTAAAAATCCTTAAGAAAACAAGGTCGAAGGGAATTAAGTATATATTTACAGTGGGGTGGTCCAGAAGATATATCATCCCACTCTGCTCATTATAAATTGTCTTAATATTCTGGATTTCAGAAAGGAGGTATTTATGTGGAATAGGCTACAAAAAGACCCTCTATATAGTCAGAGCAAACAGATAATTAATGCAATTGCTAGCATCTTATATACTAAGAGTCACAAAGTCAAATGCCTTGAGGGGCCAGGCAGGTAATGTAGACATGTGACAAGGTCCATATAGGACTCTGGCACACTGGAAAGTGTGTTTCCTGTTTAAGGGCTCAGGGAACCCAGAGTGTCCTTTTTTTCAATAAAAGGTACGGATGCTAATGTATAGCCTCTTAATTTTTAAGTATTGCAAAATATTTTTTAAAAAAGCAACAACTTTAAGCCTTTTGCAGGGTAAACAAGAGTATTGTGCAGATCAAATATATGCCATAGCGACCATGACTGTCTAGCTGCAACATCTGATCTAGTTAATTGCATTAATTCATCTGACCGAATTTGTGCATTGCTGAAAATATGCCCTAGAGAGGGAAAAGTGAAGTAGAAAGTAGAGAATCATGTTATTAAAAATATATATATTTTAAAATGCACTCAGTCTTTAGAAATGATATAAAGCAAAAAGCTTTGACATCTCCTGTTAGGATAGTAGAGTCTTCTTAACAGGGAATTGTCAGCTCTGTTCTGTGGCGCTTTAGTTATGTTAAGTTACTCAGTTTACATCCTCTGCCTTTCTTAAAATTTGAAATCTGGGCATTCTTTCTAGAGTATGAAGAGCTCAAGTCTAATATTAACTAATCCAGTGTATAGATGCTTAGTTCTTTAGGATCATTTCTTAAGAATACATATCTGGAGATTAACATTGTGTCATGTCATTATAATTAAATTTTTACAAAGAATAATTAGAAGAAAAACAAGTCAAAGTTTCTCTTTCTATGTAAAACAGAAAAAGAACTTTACACAGACCACCTTTCCTCATGTTCCCTGTGGAGTCAGTCATAAAACATGCCATCAGCCACCAAGAGCAATTTTCAGATGATCCTGAGAAGAGAAAAACTTCCATATATTTATGCTTTTTCAACATCTATTTCCTTCATGTTTCAAATCATGTCAAATGTCTTATTGCCATGACACACAATGCCCAGTAGAGACAGTCTGGTATGGCTCCCATCACTTCTGATAACACATCACTCAGAGCAATTATGTATCAACTGCAAGCATTTTTTAAAAAACAGGCTCAGGAAAACCGTTTCTGTTTTTCCAACTCAGTCTTTAAGTTGAAAATATTGTCTATATCCTTAACCAAGACTGGCATTTATTCACTCACACAACACATATTTATTGAAGCCTCTTGTGTGTATTAAAGCACTCTGCTAGAAATTAGGAACATACTATGAGTCACTTGGACACAATTCTGCCTTCATGGATCCCTGGCAGCAGAAATTAATCACAAAATCAGCATATTATCACAAACCTTGATAAGTGTACTGAAGGAGGATCATGAAATGCTATGAGAGCCTAAAACAGGGTCTAAGACATAATGTGGTCTGGGGATTAAAGGGAAGACTTCCCTGAGGAAGCTGAGAGTTCCAGAGCAGTTAGGTACCACTATGGGGAAGAGGAAGCGGGGAAGAATGTTCCACTTAGAGATGATTGCACATGTAAAGGCCCAGGGAGGAAGACAGCACATTTCAAGAACTGAAAACAAGCTAGTGTGGCTGGAGTTCACAAAAAAAAGAGGGTTCCAGATGAAGTCCAATAGGTAGGTAGGTACCAGATCATTTAGGAACTTCTAGGAAGAGCAATAGGTAAATATTGAGGGATTAAGGAATGAAGAGTGATGTCTTCATATTTGTATTTGTAAAGGCTCTCTCACTCTGGTGAAGAAGACTGGATTCAAGGAGACTGTTAAAAGGTATATTAATCATGTGTTTCTGATGTTTTCACATTTGGGGCTTTGCTGACCCTGGAGGGACTGTCCCTCCCAAGGCTAGCTAATTTCTAGAGATAGTAAAGAACTTTCCTGCAAGTACACCTTTTGTATGTAAAACAATCACCCAATGCTCATAAAGCCCAACCAACTCCTCTCTCTAGCTCTTTGACTCTGGGCCCCATTCACCTGTCCCCATCACCCCACAGCCAGTCACCAGACAACTTGGAATAGGTGCTATGCCCCAGAGCCTGCCAAGATTATTCACACTAGCCAATCCTTATTCTGCCTCACCCATTTCTTCCCATGGTCACTACAACAGTCTCTTGCCCACACCTTCCCCTCACTTCCTCTTCCTCCTGACCAACCCTGGTGTTTCCCCACAGGATGCCCCTTCATGGCATGCCAAGCCTCCTGTTTCTAGGGATCTGTGAATGTCAACGTCTTCCTTTATGACAGTCATTTCTATGTCTGCATGTCCTACCATACCTGATTCAAACAAATCCTAGGTACATTTTAAAACACAAGACCACTGTGGTAAGCCAGGTGACTTCTGATGGTGGCTTAGAACAGTATGGTCACAGTGAAGCAGAATAAGAGTACACAGTTAAAGAAGAAATGAGTTGGATAATAAAGTGAGGAAGAGAGAGGTGTCAGAATAATTCCTGGACTTATGCTCTGTTCAGTTAATTGGATGATGGTGTCATGTACCAAGACAGGAAATCCAGAAAGGGGACCAAGTTTGGGAGAGAGGATGATGAGTAAAATGTGCTTTTGAGACAATCAAATGTAAATGTTACAATAGTCAGTTGGATTTAAGCTCCTATTCAAAGACAGGAGTCCTCACCATCCTTGCCCAGCTATTCAAAGATGAGGACTCCACGGCAGAACTATTTAGAGGCTATGATTTTTTCGCTCTAATATATCACATTTCTGGTTGATGTAAATGACACTTTAAAATGAGAAACATACTATATTTATATCTTACTGGTAGTGAAAAATTAGCTTTCATATGCTCCAGATGCTATTTGATACACATCTGTCTGCCTACGCTCCATGTCAAACTAAAATCCATTCTCATAGTGAAATGTTCTCTGAACTTGAGCCAAATTGCCTTAAAGTACCCTTCATTCTATAAACTATAAGGATAGTACTTCCTTTAATGTGACAAGAAATCACATTGTCAGGTTTCCCTGATTCACCCTAATAATTGCACTTACTTGAATCACACTGCAACATAAGTTGTTTTCAGATTGATCTTTAAATTCATAGGATGAAGAAGATAACAGTTATGGGAAAAATTCCAGCTTTGCCATTCTTATTCTTGTAATTGGCCAGTCTTTTCATAGTTTCAGGATAAAGATACGGAGACCAACAGGGTGACACAGATATTTTCCCTCTCTCTTGCACTTCAAACTACAGAGGCGCTAAAATAATGACTCTACTATTGTTACTAGCAAGGAGGTTTGAAGATTGTTTTGTCTCTTTATCTGTGTTTTGAAAAGTCTTAACAAAAGTAACTTCTGAAGTCACTGTTATCTAGCCCAATTTTGCCTAAGGGGCTGAAGAAAAGAAAGACGTCTACATATTTTCAGAAATAGGCAAGACTATTTCATGATAACAAGTCATATTTAGGATTCTGATCTGAAATTGTGCGAGAAGTCCAAACTGCCTACAAACAGCAGCTGTGATTAAAGAAATATAGCTGTCTAAATCTGGCAAGATAAGTAAGAAAATAACCCAGTGTTTATTGTTTCCTAATGGGATACAGGCAGACAAATGCAACTGGTGGTCACACCCATGATGCATTATACACCCCAGTGAGATCTTCTGACAGCTTTGGGGAAGGCTGTATAGTCAGAACAAGCCTCATATCTAATCCACAACAGAGAAAGCAGAAGGGAAGAATTCCATGCTCACTTTTTCTTCTTTCCCACTTGCTGTGGAAATAAAATCTATAATATAGTGTCATATTACTTATTAATGACAATAATAACCTGTTAGAACTCTTACAGTGTATTGGGCACTGTACCATGGACCTTACTTAAATTATCTCCTTTAATCTTCATTATGACCCAATAAGGTAATTGTTTCCATTATCCTCATAAAAGAAAAATAATTACCATATACACCAAAATATAAGGTGGGGGAGATTATTTTCCCTAAATTATCCATCAGAAAAAAACTGCCTCATATTCAATTCTTCAGAAAATCCTCCAAATATTATAAGGCACTGTTTTAGTTACTAAATTTTGAATGTCAGAATATCTTGAGAAAGATATATTTCCCTAAAATGACCATAATTGGTGCTAGCTTGAATGCTCATAAAGTAATCTGGTAGAATTTGTGTTTTTAAAAAAAGAAACAAAGAAGATAATCTTTAACATAGGTAATTATTTCTGGAAGGCAACAGAAAACGCTCATGATGCAAGTCTTTTTGAATCACTCTAAGAGGTCAGAATAAACATAATGAATGTTCACCTAATGAATTCTAAAATAGTTTTTTAAGGTTATGTAAATGTATGTTTTGGGGGTAGGATAAAATTTCTAGTGACAGTATCAAACACAGATTCAAATAGTTTGGATTCTCATGCAACTTAAATGGATATCAGGATATGCCCTAAATCACTGCATGTGGCAGGTCAGAAAGTGGCCCCCAAAATGACAGAGACACTGATGTCAGAGTTGTTCAGAAAGAATTTGAATCAAAGTATTTCATGAAGTGTAAGACTGGGGGCTGGGGGAAGCAATACTTCTAAATTAATGTTATTTCACATGTATTTTTTTTTTTTTACTGTAACTAATTGTGTAAATGTTACAAATATACCTTTCTGGTTTTTAACAGATTCAATGGAGTGTGGTCCAGTAGACAGAGTAAGCTAGAAGGAAGTAGGCAAGTTGAGTGAGAAGATAGGAATGAGCTTTTAAAAGTTCAGCATAGAGATCCAATTGTGTTCCACTCAGTTTATGGAATTCCTCTGACGTGCAAGGCACTGGAGTAGGCCTACACAGGATACCTAGATGAATATTCATGGCATTGCTATCCACCCAGTCCCCTAAGTTAGAAACCTTGCAGATTTAGTAATAATAAAAATACCAATAACATATTTGATGCAAGATACCATTCTAAGTGCTTTTTACTTTTTAATATTATTTAATTTTCAAAACAACCCTATGACGTATCAACAATTATTGTTATTATTCCCATTTTACAAATGAAGAAACTGAGGTTAAGTAACTTATCAAAGGCTACAAAGTTAGTAAATGGCCATTTTAGGAGTCAAAACAGGGAATCTGGTGCTTAAGTCTATGCTCTTAATCATTAGGTTACACTGCCTCTCTTATCTTCCTCTCCTTTCCCTCCTCCCTATAGCTAATCTGTTCCCACATTTTGCAAAGGAGAGCCACACCTCCGTGAGTTCTAGCTAACACATTTATAAAATGGCAAATAGGAGTGAAAATAACTGGAGTATTAATTCTTATCTTTTCAAAGAATGCAAACTCCTTTCAATATCAGATGAAAGTTACAGACCCGCTCCAGACAGTCTCAAATTTTACACATAACTTTAGGAAATTCATAGCCAATTCAAAAATCCCAGGACACAGAGTCTTAAACCAGACAAATGTGAATGCGATTGATGGATGCTCCCAGTTGAGGACTAGATTTTGCGCAACTGCGGCCATAAAGATTGATGACTTCCCCTGGAGGAAAGAACGTGATTAGCCTTATATAGACCAGCATGGAATGCCAAATAAATCCCTGAATGAGGCAGAGACAATCCAACACAGGAGGAAGAGAATGAGACAGAATCAGTACAATGTAAAAGGAAGAGAATCTGAGCAACACCAAGACCAACATGACTGTAGTATTTGTGGCCCACACTATAGTTATAAATTAGATCATTTATGATTGGCTGCCAGTGAAGCAAGATTGCAAAAAAACACTTACTCCCTCCTCTGACCCCAACTCTGGATATGTGACAAAAGCAAGAGACTAGTTAATGGACCCCTAAAGTGGGAAATCTTTAGGGAGACAGACATAGTTGAGTTCCAGTTTGGGGAAGAAATGTTAGCCTTGCACAAGGGAGAGCCAGATGCAGAGATGATGGTAGTTTGGGGGAAGTTTGACATTTTCTATTTGTATTTTTTTCTATGCCTCACATTTCCATAGGCCTGTCTTATGGCCATGGTGGGAGAGATAGGCAGCAGCACCAACTTCAGCCAGCGGATAGAGTAAGGCTAGGGAAGTATTAGATCCTAGTTAAGGTGAGTGACAACAGGTGCATGTGGTCTAGCTGGCCTTGAGAACCTTCTCCTCTCCCTATCCTGTTATAGGCTGGGTAATTACAACAGAAGGAGGTAGCCTTGAAAATGAGCATTGGCAGGATTTTACTGAGAGGTTCTGGGTATATGTGTGTGTGTAGAGGCAGGTAAATGGGAATGATTGAAATACCAGAGGCTCTACATCGTAATTCCTGTTTTTTCCTCATACATTTAGGTGAATATAAGCTGAGGCCTGTGGTTTTTGCCTGTCCCTCAAGTATATGTTATCAGCCAAAGTAGCTGGTATATCACAGTGAATGTTAATTCCCAGAAGGAAAAAATAAGATGCCTGAGAAGCATGAGCATTATAAAATAAAAGCCAAAAATCAAACATTTTATATAAGAGAAAGCAGAATTAATTAACCAGTGTGATATTGTGAAAAAATATTTGGTCTTCCTTCCCATTCCCTGACATACAACTCCTAAAATCCTTGGAGTCTCTAAAGTGCTATCTTTTTGTATGCTGATGTTGACTCATATCTTCAGAATGGATCTGGTTACCGAAAAGGAAGAGCAAAGCATGATTAGAGGGTTGGGACTTTCAGCACCATCCCCTAAAGTGGGAGACGAGAGAGGCTGAAGGTCAAGTTGATCACCGGTGGCCAAGGTTTAATCAATCATGCCTGCATAATGAAGCCTCCACAAAAACCCAAGAGGACAGAGTTCATAAAGCTTCCAGATAGCTGAACATGTAGATGTTCCTGGAGGGTGGTGTGGCCAGGGAGGGCATGGAAGCTCCTCACTCCTGCCCGTACTTTGCCCTATGCATCTCTTCATCTGTATCCTTTGTAATATCCTTTATAGTAAACTGGTAAACATAAGTAAGTGTTTTCCTGAGTTCTGTGAGCCACTTGAGCAAATTAATCGAACCCAAAGAAGGGGTCATGGGAACCCCAACTTGAACCTGGTTGATCAGAAGCTGTGTAGGCCTGGACTTGCAACTTGTGTCTGGGGGTGGGAAGGGGCAGTCTTGGGGACTGAGCCCTCACCCTCTAAGTTCTGATGCTATCTCCAGGTAGATAGTGTTGGAATTGAATTTGAGGATGCTCAGCTCTTGTCTACTGCTTGGTGTGTGGAAGAAAACCCCCACATTTGGTCCTAGAAGTTTTCTTCTATATTGATGATTGTTGTGGTGTGAGATCAGAGGAAAAACATGGTTTAAGAGTTTTCCCCTAAATAACCAGATAGAACAAGAATTTAAAATGTAAAATAAAATTATTAAAGAGATAAGGGAGACAATTAGAAACATGAAACAGAAAAAGCAATTTGAAAGAAGGCCAATTGGAGACAATGGATATTTTTTTTTAATTGTTGAAATAGGCTGGGCATGGTGGCTCATGCCTACAATCCCAGCACTTTGGGAGACTGAGGTGGGCAGATCATTTGAGATCAGGAGTTTGTGACCAGCCCGACAAATATGGTGAAACCCTGTCTCTACTAAAAACAGAAAAATTAGCTGGGCATGGTGGTGGGGGCCTGTAATCCCAGCTACTCGGGAGGCTGAGGCAGGAGAATCGCTTGAACCCAGGAGTTGGAGGTTGCAGTAAGCTGAGATTGCACCACTGCACTCCAGCCTGGGTGGACTCTGTCTCAAAAAAAAAAAAAATTTGTTGAAATAAAGAATTCAATCAATAAATTGTACAGTAGAATAGATAGAACCAAAGAAAAAAATGGTAAATTGAAAAATCAGGTTAAAGAACTCTATGGAAAACTATCAGAAAGGACTAAAGACAGAAAACATAAAGATAAATTTTAAAAATATGGAGGGATCTTAAAATGTTAAGATCTACATAATAGAAGTTCCAGAAGGAGATAAAAGTGATCAGGTTTGGGAGAACAGAGCAGGAAAGTTTTGAAGAAATAATAATCAAGATGTAAGACCCCAAATTTAAAGGAATCACAGAGACTAGAACTCACATAAAACACAAGAAAAAATTACAACAAAATTCATGATAGTAAAATTTGAGAATATCAAAAACAAAGAAAAATTCTAAAGCTCTTCCAGTGAGAAAAGCAAATACTTGCATAGGAATGAGAGTCAAATTAATATTAAACTTCTCAAAAACAACATTGAATGTAAGAGGATAATGAGGTACTATTTTCAAAATTTTGATAAAATCAACATTTATTAAAGCAAAGATTTTATATCTAGCTAAACCCTTGTTTGAATATAAACCTACAATAAATTTATCCTCAAACATAATAAAAAAGGTTTATGGAAAGGGGGTTAAAAAATAGGTTAGCACATGAAAGCCTATTTTAAAAGCACCCTGAGGGGAAATAGTCCAATAAGAAGATCAATAAATCCAGGAGAAAGCATCAAAATATAGGAAGAAATATTATTGATAGCTATATTAGTTTGTTTTTTGTTGCTATAACACAGTACTACAAACTGAGTAATTTATAAAGCAAAGTTTATTTGTCACATGGTTGTGGAGACTGGGAAGTCCAAGGGCAAATAGGCACCAGCATCTGGTGAGGAGCCTCGTGTTGCACCACAACTTGTCAGAAGGCATCATGTGGTGAGAAGGCAAGAGCAAGAGAGCCAGAGAGAGCTTGCTTTTATAACTAGCCTATTCCCATGTTAGAAACATTAATCCATTTATAAAGGCAGAGCTGACAACCTATTCATGAATGCAGAGGGAGTATGTTTCAACACATGAACTTTTGGGGGACACATTCACACCATAGCATTCCACCTTCAGCCCCCAAAATTCATGTTCTTCTCACATACAAAATACATTCACTCCATCCCAATAACCCCAAAGTCTTATCTCATTCCAGCACCAACTCAAAAGTCCAGAGTCTCATCTAAATCAGATATGGGTGAAACTGAAGGCATAATTCATTCTATGGCAAATTCCCGCCAGCTGTGAGGCTGTGAAATCAAAACAAGTTGCCATCCCATTACAGGGTATATACCCAAGGGATTATGAATCATGCTGCTATAAAGACATATGCACACGTATGTTTATAGCAGCACTATTTACAATAGCAAAGACTTGGAACCAACCTAAATGTCCAACAACGATAGACTGGATTAAGAAAATGTGGCACATATACACCATGGAATACTATGCAGCCATAAAAAATGATGAGTTCATGTCCTTTGTAGGGACGTGGATGAAACTGGAAACCATCATTCTCAGCAAACTATCGCAAGGACAAAAAACCAAACACCGCATGTTCTCACTCATAGGTGGGAACTGAACAATGAGAACACATGGACACAGAAAGGGGAACATCACACACTGGGGACTGTTGTGGGGTGGGGGGAGGGGGGAGGGATAGCATTAGGAGATATACCTAATGCTAAATGACGAGTTAATGGGCACAGCACACCGACATGGCACATGTATACATATGTAACAAACCTGCACGTTGTGCACATGTACCCTAAAACTTAAAGTATAATAATTAAAAAATAAATAAATAAATAAAGTATTATTGGAAGGAGAAAACAAAACAAAACAAAACAAAAAAACAAGTTGTCTACTTCATTGTCCCACCAAAATACAATGGTGGGACAGGCATAGGATAGACATTCCCATTCCAAAAGGGAGAAAGAAGTAAGAAAAAAGGGATTACTGATCCTAAGTAAGTCTAAAAATCAACAGACAAAACAGCATTAAACCTTAAAGTTTCAGAATGATCTTTCATTCTATGTGCCACGTCCTGGACACACTGGAGGATTTATGTCCTAAAGCCTCAAGCAGCCCCATCTGTATGGCTTTGCTGGGCTCATGCCATGCAACAGTTCTCATGGGTTAGAGTCTCATGCCTGCAGTTCTCCCAGGCTAGTGTGGCACACTGGTAACTACAGTTCTCAGGTTCTAGGCGTGGCTCTGCTTCTGGAGCTCCACTAGGTATTGTTCTAGTGGGGGTTATCCATGGCAGCACCAGCTCTGACTCACATTTCCACCCAGCATTGCCCTAGAAGGGGCTTTCTGCAGTGGCTCTAACTCCTGCAATAAGGCTCTGCCTGGGCTACCAGGCTGCTTGCAACATCCTTTGAAATCTAGAAAGAGGAAGTAATGCCCCCACAGCTCTTGCATTCTGCTTTACTTAAATCAGCAGTGTTAGCACCTCATGAGCACCACCAAGGTTTACCACTTGTACCTTTTGGAGTGGCGGGTCAAGCCACACCTGGGCCCACTTGAGCCACAGCGTGGGTAGCTGGAAAGAACAGCTTCAGAATGCAGGGAGCAAAACCTAAGGTGGCCCTGAGCAAGGGCTTGTCCTCCAAAACCATTCTGTTCTCTAGAACCCTGGGCCTGTGTTAGGAGAGACAGCCTTCAAGATCTCTGAAATGCCTTTGGGGTTTTTCTCTTATTGTCCTGATGAACAGTCTCCGGCTTTGTTCTATTCACACTAATTTCTGTATCAATCAGTTGCTTGGTCACACCCTTGGTTTCCTCTGCTAAAAAGCCCTTTCATTGTCTACCATATAGCCAGGCTGCAAAGTTTCCAGATCTTTCCACTCTGCTTCCCTTTTAATTATAAATTATATCTTTAAATCATCTCTTTCCTCTTATTTTACTATAAGCAGTTAAAAGTAGCCATGCAGCAGCCTGAATGCTTTGATGTTTAAATATTTCTTCCAATATTTGTCAAACCTGTGAGCTCTAAAGCATGAAGAATGAAATCCAGGGCAACATAAGAGGATATGGTGGTGTGTGGTTAATTTTGTGTGTCAACTTGGCTAAGCCACTAGATATTCCAGTTCATCACTCTTAAATTCCACTTTCCATAAAGTTTTCAGGCGCAGACACAGTTCAGCCAAGTTCTTTTCCACTTTATAACAAGAATGGCCTTTACTCCAATTTCCAATACCTTATTTCTCAGTCCCATCTGAGACATAAGACCTCATCAGAATGGCCTTAGTGTCCATAGTTCTATCAACATTCTGGTCACAATTACTTAAGTAATCTCTAAGAAGTTCCAGACTATCCTTAGTCTTCTCTTCTTCCAAGCCCACATCAAAATCACTCTTAACATTTCATTCAAGCTAGTACAGACTTTTTCTAGCCTACTTCTCTGTATTAGTCTCTTTTCACACTGCTATAAAGATACTACCTGAGACTGAGTAATTTATGAAGAAAAGAGGTTTAATTGACTCACAGTTCCACATGGCTGGGGAAGCCTCAGGAAACTTAAAGTCATGGCAAAAGGCAAAGGGGAAGCAAGGCATGTGTTCCATGATGGTAGGCAAGAGAGAGGGAGCACAGGAAAAACTGCCACTTTTGAAACCATCAGATCTTGTGAGAAATCCCTCAATATCATGAGAACAGCATGGGGAAAACTGCCCCATGATTCAATCACCTCCCACCAGGTCCCTCCCTGGATACGTGGGGATTACAATTCAGATTACAATTCGAGATGAGATTTGAGTGGGAATACAGCCAAATCATATCATTCTGCCCCAATCCCTCCCAAATCACATGTCCTTTTTACATTTCAAAACCAATCATGCCTTCCCAACAGTCCTCCAAAGACTTAACTCTTTCCAGATTAACTCAAAAGTTCAAGTCCAAAGTCTCATCTGAGACAAGGCAAGTCCCTTCTGCCTATGAGCCTGTAAAAATCAAAAACAAGTTAGTTACTTTCAAGATACAATAGGGGTACAGGCATTGGGTAAATGTTCCCATTCCAAATGGGAAAAACAAAGGGGCTACAAGCCCCATGCAGTCCAAAATCTAGCAGGGCAATCATTAAATCTTAAAGCTCCAAAATAATCCCCTTTGACTCTATGTCTCACATCCAGGGCATGCTGATGCAAGGGGTGGGTTCCCATAGCTTTGGGCAGCTCCACCCCTGTGGCTTTGCAGGGTACAGTTCCTTTAGCTGCTTTTATGAGCTGGCATTGAGTGCCTTCTGGTTTTCCAGGTGCACAATGCAAGCTGTTGATGGACCTACCATTCTGGGGTCTAGAGGATGGTGGCTCCCTTCTCACAGCTCCACTAGGCCATACCCCAGTAAGGACTCTGTGTTGGGGCTCCAACCCCACATTTCCCTTCAGTACTACCCTAGCAGAGGTTCTCAATGTGGGCCCCACCCTTGTAGCTGACTTCTGCCTGGACAGCCAGGCATTTCCATACATCCTCTGAAATCTAGGTGGAGGCTCCCAAAGCTCAACTCTTGTCTTCTGTGCACCCCCAGGCCCAAAACCATGTGGAAGCTGCCAAGGCTTTGGGCTTTCACCCTCTGAAGCAATGGCCCCAGCTGTACCTTGGCCCCTTTTAGCCACGGCTGGAGCTGGAGCAGCTGGGGTGCAGGGCACTTGTTGTCCCAAGACTGCAAAGAGCACTGTGGCCCTGGGCCTGGCCCACAAAACCATTTTTCCCTTTTAGGCCTCTGGGCCTGTGATGGGAGGGTCTGCAGTGAAGGTCTCTGACATGCCTTGAAGACATTTTCCTCATTGTCTTTGGTATTAACAGTCAGCTCCTCCTCGTTACTTATGCAAATTTCGGCAGGAGGCTTGAATTCCTCCCCAAAAAATGGGTTTTTCTTTTCTGCCACATGGTTAGGCTACAAATTTTCCAAACTTTTATGCTTTGCTTCCCATTTAAACATATGTCCCAGTTTCAAACCATTTCTTTGTGAGCACATATAACTACATGCTTTCAGGAAAAACCAGGTCAGCTCTTGAATGCTTTGCTGCTTAGAAATTTCTCCCACCAGATACCCTAAATTATCTCTCTCAAGTTCAAAGTTCCATAGATCTCTAGGGTAGGGGCAAAATGCCACCAGTTTCTTTGTTAAAGCATAGCAAAAGTGACCTTTGCTATTGACTTATTGGGAACTAGTTTCCAATAAGTTCCTCATCTCCATCTGAGACCACCTCTGCCTGGATTTTATTGTCCATATTACTATCAGCATTTTTATCAAAACCATTAAACAAGTCTCTAGGAAGTTCCAAACTTTCCCTCATCTTCCTGTCCCCTTCTGCACCAAACTGTTCTAACCTCTGCCCATTAGCCAGTTCCAAAGTTGCTTCCACATTTTCAGGTTGTCTTTACAGCAATACCCCACTATCCCAATACCAATTCTCTGTATTAGTACATTTTCACACTGCTATAAAGATACTATCCGAGACTGGGTAATTTATGAAGAAAAGAGGTTTAATTGACTCACAGCTCCACATCGCTGACGAGGCCTCAAGAAACTTACAATCATGGTGGAAGGTGAAGGGGAAGCAAGGCACATTTTACATGATGGTAGGCGAGAGAGAGCCAGAGAGCGAGAGAGCACAGGAAAACTAGCAACTTTAAAACCATCAGATCTCATGAGAAGCCCCTCACTATCATGAGAACAGCATGGGGGAAACTGCCCCCATGATCCAATCACCTCCCATCAGGTTCCTCAGTGGACACATAGGGATTACAATTTGGATTAAAATTTGAGATGAGATTTGGGTGGGGACACAGCCAAATCATATCATTCCCCAAATTCTTCTAGCATCTTCCGAGTTCCAAAGTTGCTTCCGCATTTCCGGGTATTGGTTATCGCAACAACTCCCTTCCTGTTACCAATTTTCTTTCTTAGTCCATTATCTGATGCTATATCAGAATACCATAGACTGAGCAAATTATAAAGAAAAAAGGTTTATTTAATTTCATGGTTCTGGAGGCTGAGAAGTCTAAAAGCATGGTGCCAGCATCTGGGGAGGGCCTTTGTGTTACATCATTACATGGTGGAAGGCATTCACATGATGAGAGGACAAGAGCAAGAAAGCCAGAGAGACCTCACTTTTATGACAAAGCCACTCCCATGGTAATGAGCTCACTCCAGTGATAGCAACATTTCTCCATTCATGAGGGAAGAAGCCTTGTTAATCCATAAACCTATTCATAACAGCAGGGGTATTATATTTCCAACACATAAAATTTGGGGAGACACATTCAAACCATAGTAATAGCTTTTAAACAATATAATTTGTCAAACCTATGAGCTCCAAAGTGTGAAAAATGAAAGCCAGGACAACATAAAAGGATCTGGTGATGTGTGGTTAATTTTACATCTTGGCTAAGACACGGTAGCCAGATATTTGGTCAACAATCTGAATGTTGCTGTGAAGGCATTTTTTATGTAAAATTAACATTCTAATCAGTAGACTTTAACTAAAGCAGATTACCCTCCAGAACGTGATGGGGAGACTCATCTAATCAGTGGCCTTAAGAAAAAGACTGACCTCCCCCAAGGAAGAGGGAATTCTGCTAGCAAAATGCTTTCAGACTCAAACTGCAACATCAACTCTTCCCTAGGTCTCCAGCCTACCATGCAGATTTTGGACTTGCCAGCCTCCACAATCACATGAGCCAATTCCCTTCCTTAAAACTAATCTCTTTTTTCTCTCTTGCGATATACATACATATATGGGTATATTTGTTCTGTTTCTATATGTGTTCTATTTGTTCTGTTTCTCTGGAGAGCCCTGGCTGATAGAGGGTATGCTATAGGAAGCAATTAACATGTCTACTTATATTTATTTTTCAATCCGCATTCTAAAAACAAATTCTTCACGAAACCTTTACATGTATATAATCTATTACTATAGTGTATATAATGTAATTTAAAATTAAGTATATGTACATACTTGCTCAATTTTTAAAAACCTAATATGAGCACACAGCCAAAAAAGTTTGAAGATCACTAGTTGAAACAATGACAATGAATAAGTAATATATTCATAAAGTCCATAATGAAAAGTATAATTATAGTATTCCAAAATCAAGGGGATGTCAGACAGAGAAGTAGAGGCCAATGGAAAGGAAGCAACCTAAGGTACCTATCTTATTTTGAGGATAGGCACAGACATCGATAAGCTTAAGACATTGGTGGGGAAAACACATTCTTTATGAAAAATTATGTGCAATTCCTTCTGAAACACATAAAATTAAATATTTCAATTTTTTTATTGATAAAAACTCTTTCAGGTATTGATATAGAAAGATACATGTAGGTGCTCACAAATGAATTCCAATGTTAAACAGCAATCACTGAAGTGGCTGCAAAATAGAGTGCATAAAACATTGGAGTAGGGGAAGAAAATGCATGAACTTCAGTTTATATCTATTTTTATTTCATACATGTTAATTTCTATCTTTGTGTGTGTGTTACAATATAAAATAGAATAAATGCCTAATTTATTAATAAATATGTATATGTTTGAGGTGGGTATTTTTTTTTTTAATGTGGTGAATACTGCCCTGGAGAATAATGCCTAAGCAGATGCTATTCTTATCTGAGTGTCTACTCGTTACACTTTCTTTCCTGTCAAACTCCTATTCATCGTTTATGTCAATGTAGCTCAGGATCCACCCTTTGTAACAGACACTTTCCATGGAGTCTGGCCAACAGGTACTGTCAATCCCCCCCCCACTCACAGGGACAGGTTCCACCACACATTTGTGTTTGCCGAAGATTCTGAGTACCTTAGTTACTGGCGATTAGTCCAGAACCAGAATGAACTTGAACAGAGTTTGATTAACTAGATTCACCCTCTGAGAAATTTGGATTCAGAGATACTAATTAAATTCTGTTCATCAATAGACACAACAAAGACCTGTAAATCTGAAAACTATGAGGTAGGTACCTATCACTGGAACTAAGGAAAAGAATTTCATCTTTGCTTAGCCTTGTTAAGGGAGGCATTGCATTACCAAGATTTATTTAGTCTGCAAAGATCTGTAGTGCTAGTAATTTTTTTCTCCCAACTTTCAATTTTGAAAAATTTTAAACTTACAAAAAGTTGAAAGAATAATACAAAGAATACCTGTATACCCTTCTATGTTTGCCACATTTGCTTGCTTAATCCTACCCCTTCTTTCTCTCTCCCCATAGACATGCACACACACACACAGACATACACACACACACACACACACACACTTACATATCTTGAGCTGAAGTATCTCAAATTAGGTCTCAGACATCATGACACAATGACACATTATCCCTAAATACTTTGGCATGAGTATCCTAAGAATGAGATATTCTCCTTCATAACCCCATAATAACATTATCACAACAAATAAATTTAACAATTCAATATTATCATCTAATATATAGTCCATCTTCAAATTTTCCTATTTGAGGCCACAATGTCTTTTATAACTGCTTTTTTTCCTGATCCAGGATCTAATCAAGTTTTTAGCATTGCATTTTGTTGTTACGTTTCTTTAGTTTGTTTCAACATGTGCTAGACTCCTTGTCTTTTTGTTTTTGTTTTTCATAACACTATCTTTTTTAAAGAGCCTAGCCAGTTGTCATGTAAAATGTCTTTTCTACATCCCAAATATGTCTGGTTGTTCCTCATGGTTAGAGTCAGAATATTACAAGAGTATTACACAGACAATGCTGTATATTCCTTATCGCATCACCTAAGGTAACTTGTGTTATTTATTTATTTATTTATTTTTGAGATGGAGACTCACTCTGTCACCCAGGCTGGAGGGCAATGGCGCAATCTTGGCTCATCACAACCTCCACCTCCCGGGTTCAAGTGATTCTCCTGCCTCAGCCTCCTGAGTAGCTGGGATTACAGGCACACACCACCACGCCTGGCTAATTTTTGTACTTTTAGTAGAGATGGGGTTTTGCCACGTTGGCCAGGCTGGTCTCGAACTCCTGACCTCAGGTGATCTGCCTGCCTTTGCTTCCCAAAGTGCTAGGATTATAGGGGTGAGCCACCGTGCCCGGCCTAGCTTGTGTTATTGTTAGAGATGCTGAATTTGATCTATTGGTAAGGTAACTTTTCCCTGTGTAACTAGTAGATAATCTGTGGAGTGATACTTTGAGACTGTGTGAATAACCAATTCTCTAATATATTTTTACCCAATAACTTTAGAATTTATGATTAATACTTGCCTAAATCAGTTATTAAATTGGGAGTTACAAAATAGTGATTTTTGAATTCTATCATTCTTTTTACATATTAGTTGGCATTCTTTAAAGAAAAGCTTTTTCTCCCACCCCACTCCCTTTATAATGCATGTATTTTTTTAATTCAACATATTACAACCCATTACAAACATTATTTGTTACAGTGCTCAAAATGTCCCAAATTTGGCTTCCATTATTGAGTCTCAAAGACTCTAGATTTTATATCAAGGGAGAAAGCAAAATGTAGTGGGTAGAACCCAGGCTTTGGAGTCAGACAGCCTTTGGGAAGCTGCCACTTACTAACAGAGTGGCAATAAGCAAGTTTTAAAAATACATAGAGACTCAATTTCTTCACCTGCAAAAGAATGCTAATAATACCTACTTCCTAGATGGGAACCAAGCCTTCTGTTCCACTGTTATATCCCCAATATCTCAGTCACCTAGAAAGCACTTAATAGATACCTGATGACTTTGGAAAGCACCTAGAACAGCGCCAGTTATGCAATGGCAGCACAATAAATGAGCTGTTGTTGTTCATATTTATATAACACAATATGGCTTTATTAGTTAATTATTGAAGGCTTTTATGTGTGAACATTTGTACTGGCCATCAAGAAAGAACTGGAGGGTCAGGGAGACTACATCCAATTCAATTTAGCAATAATAATAATAATAATTATTGTCTTGACAATGATGAACATTTGTATAGTGTTTTCTATGGGACAGGTAGTGTGCTGAGCTCTTAATTAAGTCATTTATTCCTCTCAACAATCCTATAAGGCATTATTATTATCCCCATTTTAAGATTAGGAAACTGAGGCCCAGAAAGGATAAGTAACTTGCCACATAGCCAGTCAGCAGTAGATCCATGATTTATCCACTGCCAATCTGGTTTCAGAAGTATTCTTGTACCCATTATGCTATGCTAAAGAAAGAAAAGCTTTTAAAAATAAGGTAAATAAAAGCAGAAGGTGTTCTTTACACAGAAGAGCGTATGGTAGAGATTATGACATTTATTTAAAAGACACACGCACTTTACTGGCATAGAGTTGATAATGAAGATGTAAGGTTCTTATCCTAAAGTTCTACTGACATCATAATTTGTTTAAAAAAATTACATTTTGGAAGATGCTGAGGCTGTTGCAGATGAAGTTCTCATTTCCAGAACTTAAGGCACTAAAGCAATTTAAGCCTTGGAAAATTAGAAGTAGACGCCAGCTCTTATCTTCATCTGGTGCTTTATGGCAGCCGCTCAGTGATATACAAAGCTATGTCTGAATAACCCACCAGATGGTCCAGCTGTGAGAATGTTATTGTTTTCTACCAATTTGTATCATTCCCATGGCTTCGTAAGTTCTAGTTCTTGAACCTTCAAAAGACACCACAACTTTTTCCTTAAGCTGTGAGAAAATAATATGTTTCCCAAATCCATCACAAAAGATTCATCAGATCTGCAGGTGAATTTGCAGACAAATGTCAGTGCTTTTTGCAGTCTCCCTTAAAAGGCTGTACTTTAGTTTATAAGCCCTTGTCCTTACAAGGGTTTGATAGAAAGTTTTTGTATCAGCAGGCCAGGCACGGTGGCTCACGCCTGTAATCCCAGCACTTTGGGAGGCCAAGGCAGGTGGATCACTTGAGGTCAAGAGTTCGAGACCAGCCTGGCCAACATGGTGAGACCCCCGTCTCTACTAAAAATACAAAAATTAGCTGGGCATGGTGGCAGGCGCCTGTAATCCCAGCTACTTGGGAGGCTGAAGCAGGAAAATCGCTTGAACCTGGGAGGCGGAGGTTGCAGTGAGCCGAGATCAGGCCACTGCACTCCTGCCTGGGTGACAGAACGAGACATCATCTCAAAAAGAAAAAAAAAGTTTTTGTATGAGCAGACTGTAGACAGTTGCTACCACTGTCAATTAGTTAATGCACTTTGTTAAAAATGATCCTTGTCTCTCAAAAGCCATTTTGTTATCTGTCTTTACACTCTTACCTTCTTCAGTATTATGTGGAATTGCTTGCCTGATGTTATTGGAGTGAGCATACTGGTCATTCACAGGCACTATATGTTCCCAACTATCTGTATCCTACAAGAAAGATGAGCAATAAGAACTCACACAGTGTGAATTATAGCCTAATAATTAGTATCTCCTGCGTTAGGAGATGCAAGGCTGAGGGCTATGCAGCCATTAAAACAGTTAAGCATGAATTACCACACTATAATTCAGGGCCTGAAGGCTCTTCTATACATAGAAGCAGATGTCTCTTTTACTAGAAGAGGGAAGCCGGTAGTAATCTGAAGCGGGGGAGGTGGTTTTTTGAAAAAATGCTGGCGTGACCCAGTTACTGCTACTGCACCCGGAAATAAGACATATAACACGCCTCTGAATTCCCCTGAAGCAGCCCTTGCATTGATCTTAGCCTTCATCAGCCTCCCTGTGGGTACCTGTGGGGCCAGCAATGGATCCCTGCATTTATCTAGCTTGAGCAATTTCCCCTTGTGCGTTTTTATTGTCTTACAATTAAAACCACAAAACACGCCCCTCACCCAGGACTCTACTAGAAGCTACATCTGAGTGTATCCCTCTGTATACGTGTCCAAGAGTAAGCACCCCATGGTATTTCAAGGAAAGCAGGCACTCTAAAAACTTTTCAACACCTGGCCCTGCCTGTGTCTCAAACTTGGTCTCCCTGTACTCACTTCCTCTCTCACATTGTTCCAACCATACCTTCCACATTGCTCTTCCTCATGCCGGCCAAGTACATGTATATCAAGGGTATTTGTCCTTCCTTCTGCCTGGAAGACTCTTCCATCAGGTGTCTGCATGACTGAAGGAAAGAAAAGGAAAGATATGAAATAAGGAATAAAACAAGGACAGGAAAAGAAAGCCTCAGAGAGTCCTTTCCAGATCATAATTCATAAAAGCGTTCCATGCCATTTTTGTTTGTCTCTTTATCTGACATTATTTTACTTCCAAGCACTTACCACTACCTGGTATTAAGTTGTGTATTTATGTGTTGGGTCTGTCTCTTTCACTACATCGTAAGCTCCATGAAGTCAGTTTATTTAATTTTTTGTTCCCTGCTTTTTAGCCTCAAATTCTCAGCCCTTAGAAAAGAGCCTGACACATAGTAGGTCCTAAAATATTTGCTGAATGAAAGAATGAATTAATGCACTCCCAGTTTCAAGGAACAGAAGAACTCATATTTCCATGCTTTTTTATTTTTATTTTTTTTAAGATATGGAAACAAGTCCGGGCGTGGTGGCTCACTATTATAATCTCAGCACTTTGGGAGGCTGAGGCAGGTGGATCACCCGAGCTCAGGAGTTTGAGACCAGCCTGGGCAACATGGCAAAACCCCGTCTCTATAAAAAATACAAAAATTAGCCAGACACGGTGGCACATGCCTGTAATCCCAGTTATTCAGGAGGCTGAGGCACAAGAATTGCTTAATCCTGGGAGGCGGAGGTTGCAGTGAGCTCAGATCGTGCCATTGCACTCCAGCCTGGATGACAGAGAAGATCCTGTCTCTCTGTCTCTCTCTCTTCCTCACACACACACACATACATACACACACACACACACACACACACACACAAAGATACAGAAATACAATTCTTCAAGTTCTTTCTTCACATGTACCTCCTTTCTACTTGAAATGACTAACTAGTTTGGGATGTGATGCAGGGGCACATCTCCAAGGATTTGCTCTGGAAATGGACAAAATACTCGGGTGCCCCTCCACTTAAAGAAACTATAGGTTGTGTTGAAAAGCAAAGGTTCTCTAACCTGAGGCCTTTCTAAAATGTGAATTTTAAAGCATTAAAGAAAAGCTGCCATTTCAAAATTTCTTCTAGTTCTTAGTAGAGCTTACAAAGGAAACCCAAGAAAACACATTAATGGGATTTTGACTATGAATAACAATGCACTGAGTTTATCCTGGAATAAGATTTTTGAGACTAAGGAAACTAAATTTCTCAGTATAATAACTAACAAGAATTTTCTGTTTGCACCAAAATTACCAGAGGAAAGCCTTCTAGCCTTCTAGAGGAAGAAGCATGATGGGGAAGCAATGTTGTTCAGAGAAAGTGGGCACAATGAAAGGGTGACGGCTAAAGAAGGAAACACTAAGGAGAATACAAAAAGGAAATTATAGCCCCCTTTACCTATGCATGAAGATTCAAAAATCCTAAGTAAAATATTAGTGAACCAACTCTACAATGTTAAATATATTTAATACATAAAATATATTTAGTTGTCTTAGGATTCTCCAGAGAGACAGAATTGATAGGCTATATGTCTCTATATCCTATCGATACACACACACACACACACACACACACACACACACACACACACATATATAGAGAGAGAGATGAGAAGAGATTTATTAGGATAATAGTAATTAGTTCATTCCATTATGGAGTCAGAAATATCCCACAATAGGCTGTCTGCAAGCTGGAGAAGCAGAAAGCTAGTAGGGTGGCCCTGTCAAGTCTGAAATCATCAGATTAAGGAAGCAGGTAGCATGGCTCTCAGTTCGAGACCCAAAAGTTGTGGGCCTAGCTGGTCCCAGCCCCATAGTGTAAAAGCCTGAGAACTTGGAGTCCTGACATCCAAGGTCAAGAAAGGAAGGACATCCTGGCTCCAGAAGAAAGAGAGAGCAAGAATTTGTCCTTCCTCTTCCTTTTTGTTCCATCTGGGTCCCCAGACAAATGGATGGTGCCTGTGTCTATTGAGTGTGAATCTTCCCCACTTAGTCTTCCAACTCACATACCAATCTCCTCTGGAAATCGCCTCACAGACATGCCTGGGGCAGCCCAGTGAAAAGGCCAGTAAAAGGCCAAACCACCTGGGTTGCCCTTTCAGCAGAAGAGGGGTGGGCTCAGTGCCTGGTGAAGCATTGAGGAGAAGTAGTGCAATGATTAAGAATAAATGATACCTAACCAGCTATCTGGGAATCCCTTAATTCAGTCAAGTTGACACCCAAAATCAACCATCGGTATTGTAAATTTTAGCTCCAGATCAACTGCAAGAATAGACCAGCAATCCTGAGAGGACCCACAAACCCTCTGAAGGAAGCAGACTGCTCCTGCAGGAACTGGGAGACACCCCAAATACTGTGAGTGCCCCAAACGCGGAAGTGGGAAAGGGAGACCCTCCTCTCCCGAACACACACACCCACTGGAGAAACTGAAGATGTGTTTGCAGAAGTTCCCGAGTTTACCTGGAGCTGAGTCAAGTTAGAGAGCTCAGCCGAGCGAAATACAAGGGTAGAGGAAGTAGCAGAAAGGCACTGGGAGCTTGCTGGATCCCTAAGCAGCCCATTCTTGCCTGGCACCACAGGGATCCATCAGGAGAATGGCCAGAGGAGCAGGGGGAAAACTCCACAGAGAGAAGGACTTCTCTAGCAGAAGTTTGTAACAATTTGAACAGGGTGAGAAGCCTCCTGGCCAGAACTCGAGGGAGGGCGTGATTCCAGCTTGCAGACTTCACAGGCAGAGGAAGAACTAAAGCCCTTTTCTTCTTATTTATTTATTTATTTTTTTTTTGAGATGGAGTCTTACTCTGTCACCCAGGCTGGGTCGCGCCGAGTGGCGCGATCTCGGCTCACTGCAACCTCCACCTCCCGGGTTCAAGCCGTTCTCCTGCTTCAGCCTCCCGAGTAGCTGGGACTGCAGGCATGCGCCACCGTGCCTGGCTAACTTTTGTATTTTTAGTAGAGATGGGGTTTCACCATGTTAGCCAGGCTGATCTCAAACTGCTGACGTCAGGCAATCCACCTGTCTTGGCCTCCCAAGGTGCTGGGATTACAGGCGTGAGCCACCGTGCCAGGCCTAAAGCCCTTTTCTTTCGCAGCTGGGAGGCTGAAAGCCTAGGGCAAGTTTTCAAGCCCAACTCCCTCTCCACCTGAAAACAGACTCAGAGCTGTTGTGGGGGACATGGTGGGAGTGAGACTGGCCCTTCAGTTTGCCTGGGAGCTGGGCGAGGCCTGTGACTGCCGGCTTTCCCCCATTTCCCTGACAACCTGCATGACTCAGCAGAGGCAGCCATAATCCTCCTGGGTGCACAACTCCAGTCACCTGGGAATCTTACCCCCATCCCTCACAGCAGCTGCAGCAAGACTCGCCCAAGGAGAGTCTGAGCTCAGACAAGCCTAGCCCTGCCCCACCCACCTCCTGATGGTCCTTCCCTACCCACTCTGGTAGCAGAAGACAAAGGACATATAATCTTGGAAGTTCTAGGGCCCTGCCCACCTCTGGTCCCTCTCCACACTACTACAGCTGATGCTTTCTGGAAAGTGCCACCTCCTGGCAGGAGGCCAACCAGCACAAAAATAGAGCACTAAACCACCAAAGCTAAGGATCCCCATGGAGTTCATTGCACCCTCCGTCACCTCCACCAGAACAGGCGCTAGTATCCATGACTGAGAGACCCATAGAAGGTTCACATCACAGGACTCTGTGCAGACAACCCCCAGTACCAGCCTGGAGCCAAGTAGACTTGCTGGGTGGCTAGACCCAGAAGAGAGACAATAATCACTGCAGTTCAGCTCACACGAAGCCACTTCCACAGGAAAAGGAGGAGAGTACTACATCAAGGGAAGACCCTGTGGGACAAAAGAATCTGAACAACAGCCTTCGGCCCTAGACCTTCCCTCTGACAGAAGGAAGCCAAATGAGAAGGAACCAGAAATGAGAAGGAACCAGAAAACCAGCCCTGGTAATATGACAAACAAGGTTTGTCAACACCCCCCAAAAATCACACTAGTTCACCAGCAATAAATCTAAACCAAGAAGAAACCCCTGATTTACCTGAAAAAAGAATTCAGGAGGTTAGTTATTAAGCTAATCAGGGAGGGATCTGAGAAAGGCAAAGCCCAATGCAAGGAAATCCAAAAAATGATATAAGAAGTGAAGGGATAAATATTCAATGTAATAGATAGCTTAAAGAAAAAACAATAAAAAAATCAGGAATCTTTGGACACACTTTTAGAAATGTGAAATGCTCTGGTAAGTCTCAGCAATAGAATTGAGCAAGTAGAAAAAAGAAATTCAGAGCTCGAAGACAAGGTCTTTGAATTAACCCAATCCAACAAAGACAAAGAAAACAGAATAAGAAAATATGAACAAAGTCTCCAAGAAGTCTGGGATTATGTTAAACAACCAAACCTAAAAATAATCAGTGTTCCTGAGGAAGAAGACAATTCTAAAAGCTTGGAAAACATATTTGGGGGAATAATCAAGGAAAACTTACCCAGCCTTGCTAGAGACCCAGATATCCAAATACAAGAAACACAAAGAACACCTGGGAAATTCATCACAAAAAGATCTTCACCTAGGCACATTGTCATCAGGTTATCCAAAGTTTATAGCAGCACTATTCACAATAGCAAAGACTTGGAACCAACCTAAATGTCCAACAACGATAGACTGGATTAAGAAAATGTGGCACATATACACCATGGAATACTATGCAGCCATAAAAAATGATGAGTTCATGTCCTTGGTAGGGACATGGATGAAACTGGAAACCATCATTCTCAGCAAACTATCGCAAGGACAAAAAACCAAACACCGCATGTTCTCACTCATAGGTGGGAATTGAACAATGAGAACACATGGACACAGGAAGGAGAACATCACACAGCAGGGACTGTTGTGGGGTGGGGGGAGGGGGGAGGGATAGCATTAGGAGATATACCTAATGCTAAATGATGAGTTAATGGGTGCAGCACACCAACATATCGCATGTATACATATGTAACAAACCTGCACGTTGTGCACATGTACCCTACAACTTAAAGTATAATAATAATACTAAAATAAAATTTAAAAAAAAAGCAAAGTTAAGACAAAGGAAAGAATCTTAAGAGCTGTGAGACACAAGCACCAGGTAAACTATAAAGGAAAACCTATCAGATTAACAGCAGATTTCTCAGCAGAAATCCTACAAGCTAGAAGGGATTGGGGCCCTATCTTCAGCCTCCTCAAACAAAACAATTATCAGCCAAGAATTTTGTATCCAGTAAAACTAAGCATCATATATGAGGGAAAGATATAGTCGTTTTCAGACAAACAAATGCTGAGAGAATTCACCATTACCAAGCCACTACGAGAACTGCTAAAAGGTGCTCTAAATCTTGAAACAAATCCTGGAAACACATCAAAACAGATTCTCTTTAAAGTATAAATCACACAGGACCTATAAAACAAAAATACAAGTTAAAAAAACAAAAACAAAAAACAAGGTATGCAGGCAAAAAAGAGCATGATGAATGCAATGGTACCTCACATTTCAATAATGACATTGAATGTAAACAGCTTAAATGCTCCACAGAACCACAGAATGGATAAGAACTCACCAACCATCTGCTGTCTTCAGGAGACTCACCTAACACATAAGAACTCACATAAACTTAAAGGGGTGGAAAAAGGCATTTCATGCAAATGGACACCAAAAGTGAGCAGGGGTAGCTATTCTTATATCAGACAAAAAAAATTTAAAGCAACAGCGGTTAAAAGAGACAAAGAGGGATATTACATAATGGTAAAAGGCCTGGTCCAACAGGAAAACATCACAATCCTAAACATACATGCACCTAACACTGGAGCTCCCAAATGTATAAAACAATTACTAACAGACCTAAGAAACGAGAAAGGCAGCAACACCATAATAGTGAGGGACTTCAATATTCCACTGACAGCACTAGACAGGTCATAAAGACAGAAAGTCAACAAAGAAACAATGGATTTAAACTATACTCAACCTAAACAAATGGACTTAACAGATATATACAGAACATTTCAAACAACAACCGCAGAATACACATTCTATTCAACAGCACATGGAACTTTCCCAAGATAGACCATATGATAGGCCATAAAACAAGCCTCAATAAATTTAAGAAAATTGAAATAATATCAAGCACTCTCTCTGACTACAGTGGAATAAACTGGAAATCAACTCCAAAGGGAACCTTTGAAACCATGCAACTACATGGAAATTAAGTAACCTGCTCCTGAAGGAGCACTGGGCCAAAAACAAAATCAAGATGGAAATTAAAAAAATTCTTTGAATTGAATGACAATAACAGCACAACCTATCAAAACCTCTGGGAGCAGCTAACGTGGTGCAAAGAGGAAAGTTCATAGCCCTAAATGCCTACATCAAAAAGTCTGAAAGAGCACAGACAATCTAAGGTCACACCTCAAGGAACTCCAGAAGCAAGAACAAACCAAACCCAAACCCAGCAGAAGGAAGGAAATAACCAAGATCAGAGCAGCACTAAATGAAATTGAAACAAACAAAACAAACAAAATACAAAAGACAAATGAAACAAAAAGCCGGTTCTTTGAAAAGATAAATAAAATCAATAGATCATTAGCAAGATTAACCAAGAAAAGAAGAGAGAAAATCCAAATAACCTCACTGAGAAATGAAACAGAAGATATTACAACTGATACCACTGAAATGCAAAAGTATATTCAAGGCTACTATGAACACCTTTATGCACATAAACTAGAAAACCTAGAAAAGACGGATAAATTCCTTGAAAAATGCAACCCTCCTAGCTTAAATCAGGAAGAATTAGATACCCTGAACAGACCAATAACAAACAGCAAGATTGAAATGGTAATTTAAAAATTACCAACAAAAAAATGTCCAGGACCAAACAGATTCACAGCAGAATTCCATCAGACTTTCAAAAAAGAATTGGTAATAATCCTTTTGACACTATTCCGCAAGATAGAGAAAGAAGGAGCCCTCCCTAATTCATTCTATGAAGGCAGCATCACCCTAATACCAAAACCAGGAAAAGACACAACTAAAAAAGAGAACTACAGACCAATATCCTTGATGAAAGTAGATGCTAAAATCCTTAACTAAATACTTGCTAACCAAATCCAACAACATATCAAAAAGATAATCCACCATGATCAGATGGGTTTCATACCAGGGATGCAGGGATGGTTTAACATATGCAAATCAATAAATGTGATACACCACATAAACAGAATTAAAAACAAAAATCACATGATCATCTCAATAGGTGCAGAAAAAGCATTTGACAAAATCTAGCATTGCTTTATGATTAAAACCCTTAGCAAAATCAGCATACAAGGGACATACTTTCATGTAATAAAATCCATCTATGACAAACCCACAGCCAACATAATACTGAATGGTTCTTCACAGAGTTAGAAAAAACAATTCTAAAATTCATATGGAACCAAAAAAGAGCCCACATAGCCAAAGAAAGACTAAGCAAAAAGAACAAATCTAGAGGCATCACACTACCTGATTTCAAACTATACTTCAAGGCCATAGTCACCAAAACAGCATTGTATGGTATAAAAATAGGCACATAGACCAATGGAACAGAATAGAGAACCCAGAAATAAATCCAGATACTTACAGCGAACCAATCTTTGACAAAGCAAACAAAAACATAAAGTGGGGAAAGGACACACTTTTCAACAAATGGTGCTGGGATAGTTGGCTAGCCACATGTAGGAGAATGAAGCTGGATCCTTATCTCTCACCTTATACAAAAATCAACTTAAGATGGATTAAGGACTTAAACCTAAGACCTGAAACTATAAAAATTCTAGAAGATAACATTGGAAAAACCCTTCTAGACATTGGCTTAGGCAAGGATTTCATGACCAAAACCTCAAAAGCAAATGCAATAAAAACAAAGATAAATGGCTGGGACCTAATTAAACTAAAGAGCTTTCACACGGTAAAAGGAACAGTCAGCAGAGTAAATAGACAACCCACAGAGTGGCAGAAAATCTTCACAATCTATATATCTGACAAAGGACTAATAGCCAAAATCTACAATGAACTCAAACAAATCAGTAAGAAAAAAACAATCTCAACAAAAAGGGGGCTAAGGATATGAAGAGACAGTTCTCAAAAGAAGATATACAAATGACCAACAAACATGAAAAAATGCTCAACATCACTAATGATCGGGGAAATGCAAATGTAAACCATAATGCGATACCATGTTACTCCTGCAAAAATGGCCATAATCAAAAAATCAAAAAACAGTAGATGTTGGCATGGATGTGGCAATCAGAGAACACTTCTACACTGCTGGTGGGAATGTCAACTAGTACAGCCGCTATGGAAAACAGTGTGGAGTTTCCTTAAAGAACTAGAAGTAGAACTACCATTTGATCTAGCAATCCCAGAGAAAAAGAAGTCATTATTCAAAAAAGATACTTGCACATGCATGTTTATAGCAGCACAATTCACAACTGCAAAATTGTGGAACCAACCCAAATGTTCATCAATCGAGTGGATAAAGAAACTGTGGAATATATATATGATGGAATACTACTGAGCCATGAAAAGGAATGAATTAACAGCATTTGCAATGACCTGGATGAGACTGAAGACTATCATTCTAAGTGAAGTAACTCAGGAATGGAAAACCAAACATTGTATGTTTTCACTGGTACGTGGGAGATAAGCTATGAGGATGCAAAGGCATAAGAATGATACAATGGACTTTTGGGGATTTAGGGGGAAGACTTGGAGGGGGGTAAGGGATAAAAGACAACACATATGGTGCAGTATATAATGCTCAGCTGATGGGCACACTAGGATCTCACAAATCACCACTAAGGAATTTACTCATGTAACAAATACCTCAATAACTTATGCAAAAAAAAAAGAGTAAAAAAAAACCCCACAAAATCAACCATCACATTAGTTAATTAATAAAATATATTGCATAGCCTAATAAATAAGTTAATTAAGAATTATACATGATAGGCTGGGCGTGGTGGCTCACGCCTGTAATCCCAACACTTAGGGAGGCTGAGGCGGGCGGATCACAAGGTCAGGAGATCGAGACCATCCTGGCCAACATGGTGAAACCCTGTCTCTACTAAACTACAAAAAAAAAAAAAAAAAAAAAGTCAGCCGGGCATGGTGGCACGCACCTGTAGTCCCAGCTACTTGGAAGGCAGAAGCAGGGGAATCGCTTGAACCTGGGAGGCAGAGGTTGCAGTTAGGCCAGATTGCACCACTGCACTCCAGCCTGGCAACAGAGCAAGACTATGTCTTAAAAAAAAAAAAAGAATTATACATCATAATCAAGAATGTAAGGAACATCATCAGAAAATCAGTATCAGAAAATATATTAAATTCTATATTTCTTTTAAAATAAATAAAAATAAAAATAAAAATATAGTATTGTAATTTGTGGTATTAATAAACTAAAGGAGAAAATGATAATAATAAAATAATTTATTTGGCCAGGCACGGTGGCTCATGCCTGTAATCCCAGCACTTTGGGAGGCTGAGGTGGCGGATCAAGAGGTCAGGAGTTTGAGACCAGCCTGACCAACATGGTAAAACCTCGTCTCTACTAAAAATACAAAAATTAGTGGGACATGTTGGTGCGCACCTGTAATCCCAGCTACTCAGGAGGCTAAGGCAGGAGAATCACTTGAACCCAGGAGGCCGAGGTTGCAGTGAGCCCAGATCAGGCCACTGCACTCCAGCCTGGGCGACAGAGCAAGACTCCATCTCAAATAAATAAATAAATAAATAAATAAATAAATAAATAAATAAATAATTGATTCAGAAAAACATTTGATGAGGTTCAGTGTCCATTAAAAAAATGTTAGAAATAGTAAAGAACATCCTTTGTAAAATGTATTAATATATACCCAAACCCTAAATATTATAATTCATGAAAAAACTTTATATGCATAACTTTTATGATTAGGGAAAAGATAAGGATAGCATTGTTATCCACACTGTTCAATACAGTATTGGAGGTTGTGACCAATGTGATAAGGAAAGAAAAATAAGAAAAGTGTTTCTATTGCTAATTACATCCTATACATTTCCCTTTACCTACAGTTTTCATTGTTCTCTACAAATTTTTATATACTCTATTTTCATTTTCATTTTATTAAAAACATTTTCTAATTTTCCTTATGACTTCTTCTCTGACCCATGGATTCTTTAGAGTTGTGTTGTTTCATTTCCAAATATTTGGGGATTTTCCAGATATTTTTCTGTTATTGACTTCTCATCCAATTTTATCATGATCAGAGAAGCTACCTTGCATGATCCTAATTATTTTAAATTTGTTGAGGTTTGTTTTATGGGCCAGAACATGGTCTACCTTGGTGAATATTCTATGTTCAATTAAAAAATATATATTCTGCCATTGTTGAGTTTTGTGTACTATAAATGTGAATTAGGTCAAGTGGGTTGATAGAGTTCTTCAGGTGTTCTAAATCCTTAATGATTTTCTGCCACTTTATCAATTCTTGAAAGAGGAGTGTTGAAACCTCCAACTTAATTGTGAATTTGTCTATTTCTTCTTTCAGTTCTATCAGTTTTTAAGCTCTGTTGTTAGGCTCATCCACTTTTAGGATTTTTGTGTATTCATAGTGAATTCACTTCTTATCATCAGGTAATGTCCTTCTTTTATGCTTTATGATAGCTCATGTTCTGAATTTTACTTTGTCTGATATTAAAATGACCACTCCAGCTTTCTCTTTGTTCGTGTTTGCATGGAATATATTTTTCCATTCATTTACTCTCATCCTACCTAGGTCATTATTATTGAAATAAGTTTCTTATAAACATTTGGATCATCTTTCAAAATCCATTCTTCCAATCTCTGTTTTTTAATTGGTACATTTAGACTATTTATGCTTAATATAATTATTGATAAGATTGTGCTACAGCCTATCTTGCTAGGTGTTTTCTATGTATTCATCTGGTTTTTTTTTGTTTCTTTTATGTGTTATGCCTGCTTTTTTTCTTCCTGCCTTATATCTCCACAATTGAATTTATTGAAATTATTTCTATTTGAAAAATAATAATTACATATTTATGGAGTACAATGTGTTAGATATATGTATATATGGCCGAATAATGATATCAAGCCAATCAACACATCCATCACTTCACATACTTAGCTTTTTTTTCTGTAGCAAGAACATCTAACATTGCTATTCTTTTGGCAATTTTGAAGTATACATTACATTACTATTAACTATGGTCATTTTGCTACATGATAGATCTTAAAAACTTTTATTCCTCCTGCCTAATTTGAACTTTATACCCTTTGGTCGACTTCTCTTCATTCTTAATCTCCCCATCTTCACCCCCCACTCCAACAACTCTGGTAACCAGCATTCTAATCTTACTTCTAAAAATTCAATTTTTTTCACAATTGGATTTTTTTATACCTTTTCTTAATTTTTTAGTAATTACTCTAGGTTTTACAAAATATATCTTCAAATAATATTCTGTTGCTTCGTGTTTAGTGTAAGGACCTAAACTTACAATACTGTATTCTCAATTTCTCCCTCCCATCTTTGTGCTATTAGTTTCACGTCTTACTTTTACATACACTTTTTTTTTTTCTTTTGAGATAGAGTCTTGCTCTGTCATCCAGGCTGGAGTGCAACGGCATAATCTTGGCTCACTGCAACCTCCACCTCCCAGGTTCAAGCGATTCTCCTGCCTCAGCCGCCTGAGTAGCTGGGACTACCGATGTGCACTACCACACCCGGCTAATTTTTGTATTTTTAGTAGAAAAGGGGTTTCACCATGTTGGCTGGGCTGGTCTTGAACTCCTGACCTCAGGTGATTCGCCTGCCTCAGCCTCCCAAAATGCTGGGACTACAGGTGTGAGCGACCACACCCGGCCTACATACACTTGTAAACCAAGCTACATTGCTACTTCTTTTTAGACAATCGCTTACCTTTCAGAGTAATTTAAAATAAGAGAAAAGAATACTTTTTCATTTTAACTGTTTTCAGAGATCTTCATTTCTTTGTGTCAGTTCCAATTACTATCAGATTCTTTCCTTTAACATTTTTTGTAGTGCAGGTTTGTTGATAATGAATTCTGTTTTTATTTTTCAAAAAAAGTTTTTATTTTGTCTTCCCTTTTGATAGATCTTTTCACTGAATTTTAAGTCGACTTTTTTTTTCTTTTAGCACTTTAAAGAGACCATTGCCTTCTGGTTTGTATGGTTTCTGACAAGAAGTCCGCTTAATTTTTATTTTTGTTCCTCTGTATGTGATGTGTTTTATTTTTCTGGCTGCCTTTTAGATTCTCTCTTCATCTTTGATTTTTATTCACTTGACTATGATGGTCTAGCTGTAGATTTATCTTTCTTGGTGTTCTCCGACCTTGTTTGTTTGATTTTTTTTTATTATTGCTGGAAAATTCTTGGCCATTATCTCTTCAAATATTTCTTCTGCCTCATTCTTACTTTTTTCTCCTAAGATTTCAAAAACACATGTTTTGTGTTTGATTGTTTGATATGTTCTTAAGCTCTTGTATGCTCATTTCTGGTTGTTTTCTCCTTCCCCACCACTCTTTTTTCTTTGTTTTTCAGTTTGAGTAATTTCTATTGATCTATCTTCAAATTCACTAATGCTTTCCTCAGATGTGTTGAGTCTACTGATGAGCCTATCAAAGGCATTCTTTATTTCTGCAACTTTGTTTTTCCCCATAGCATTTTCATTTGACTATTTCTTATAGTTTCCATGCCTTCAGTGATATCTCTCATCTGTTTGTACATATCTGTATAACTTCTCCAAAAGAACTTTTAACAAATTAACCATAGTTGTTTTATTCCCTGTCCAGTAGAAACGATTTACTTTTTCTCCAGAAAAAAGAATGCTCTTTCTTGTTACTCTGCAAATGAGGGGAGGAGTAGGGGGTTTGTTTGTTGTCTTTGTCCAGCCTCAGCTTAGGCAGAATCTGTGTCCCTTGGTCTCAGAGGAAAAGCTTTCTTAAAGATCCTACCTCACACCCTGTCATAAAAGGCATAAGAAACCCAAATGGTTTATTGCCCTTCCCCCTGACATAGACGGTATTTTTCTTTTACCTTCAGCCACATGGGTATTCACAATGCTTTGGGGATTTCAGGGTTTGCTGCTGTTTCTTCACTGTCTTACGCCTTCATTCCTCAAAGAGAAAAAGATACAGACAGAGCTTCGCGGCTTTCTCACAGCAGTAGCTGCTGCCTTCTTCAAGCCTGTGTCACTGACAACAGGCTTTCTCTAGGCTCCCAAGCCTCCCTTAATCTTTCTTGTGAATATTAGCAAAGAAGAGCCTCTTTGTTTGTTTGGCACCTAGGTGTTCTGTATTCTCCAACTGGTCCACCCCTAAACTTTAGCAATTCGTTAACATGTTTTACCGAACTTCTTATCTGCTATACCAGCTTTTTCTGCTATATACAGCTTTTTCCTGAACTCTGCCAGAGTGGCCCACCCTGCCTTTCTTTAAGACTTCAGGCTAGTAGTTTTCTTTGTGAATTCAATTTTCTCCTAGAGTCAAGAAAATAGATAATTTTGTTGATTACCTAAGGTGTTTTTTTTTTTTTTGTTTTGTTTTGTTTTTTTTTTCCCAGAGTCTCGCTCTGTCGCCCAGGCAGGAGTCCAGTGGTGCGATCTCAGCTCACTGCAAGCTCCGCCTCCCGGGTTCACGCCATTCTCCTGCCTCAGCCTCCCGAGTAGCTGGGACTACAGGCGCGCGGCACCACGCCTGGCTACATTTTTTTTTTTTTCTTATTTTTAGTAGAGACGGGGTTTCACCGTGTTAGCCAGCATGGTCTCGACCTCCTGACCTTGGGATCCGCCTGCTTTGGCCTCCCAAAGTGCTGATATTACAGGCGTGAGCCACTGCGCCCGGCCGATTACCTAAGGTTTTATTTTTAGGGCGAATGCAACACTCTCATGGTTTCTACATCCTAGTTGGATGCCAGAAATTCTAATATTCATTTTTAGATAGCTTCCTGGTCTATGCTATAATTTCCCAATTGGTCTCTAACTTTCAGTAAAAGTTCATTACATTCTATAGCATTGATAGAGGGGCTTTTGCAAAGGAGGAAAGAAGAACATGTTTGGGATGCAGCAGTAAAAAGAGGCCAGTATTTCTAGACTTGTATTTCTACATAAAGAAAGTTTTTAAAAGTTAAAAAAATAAAGAGGCCAGTAGCTCACAAGCAAGAGGTGATCAAGATTATGTTGACAGCAGGTATTTGTAATTAAGGGTGAAAGGCAACCACCAGGAGCATACAAGCACTTTTTCCCATACTGAGGAGAATTTGGGAAGTACCTTTAACTTTCCACAGTTATGAGTAAACGAGAGTTCAATGAATTACATGTGGCTACTAAAGGAAAGAATGATCAGGGATTACTATGAGGACTTAGACTATCCGGATTATAGGGATATAGCTAAATCATTACATCTGTTTGTCATCAAACCTAATACAATAACTTCGACCTATTAAAAGTGGGAGATTAAGCTCTTTACACAGAAAAAGTTAATACTAAAATCTGGAGTTTACTTAGGTTCCCATTTTCACCACAGTACTTAGCTGAGTTACCTGAATTGTAACACAACAGAGAAAAAAAGGACTTAGAATGTTTAGATGCCTTCTTTCTTAAAAAAAAAAAAAAGATACAAGTTGGCTTTCTGTGTTATCCTATTTAAGTATTCTGATAAGGGAGCCCAAGTTTTAATTTTTATCATTATTGTCAAGGGGGAAGGGGATCAAATTTTAGAGGCCATCTCAGTGCCTGAGTAATTTTTTCCAATCCAGCAAGATCAGATGGTCTGATTGCCTTGCTCAGTGTTTCTGGTAGAAAAGGCAATTTTCAAGACTGAAATAGCAATTTCTTAGCCATCACTGGAGCTCTTAAAATCCATTTTTTAAACTCCCGTAGACTTCCATGTGTAAATGAAAGAAGACTCCTGGAAATACACATTTTTCTATTTTGAGAGATAACTCACTCAAGCATAAAGTTAATACAATTTATTACACCAAAAGTAAAGTTGCATTAGAGTGAGCTCATAACAGATGAGTAAACACACTTCACAAGAGTGGGGTTGGCATGTCTGCTATCCTTAGTTTGTCTTCTTCAGCTTGGATGCCTTCTAAATGTCTTATTCTTACATCGGTCCTGTTGGCAGAGGAGAGTTCTGTCCTTGTTAGAGAGGTGTTTGGAAACACCTTTAGACCTTTGAAAAATTCAGCACTAACACTAAGATGGGTCACTAGCCTTTGCTTATTCTGAGGGAAAGAAAGCCTTCAATTAGTATTTTAAAGTGAAAGTGATAAAATCAAATTGAAGGGTGCCTGAGTCGGGCTACTCTCATTTATATCATATGTTTAATGAAAACATACTAACTCTGTGACCTCAGGCAAAGGGGTTAACTTCTTTGAGCCTCGTTTTTTTCATACAGAATGAAAATTTTAATAAACCATGCCTTACCCATGGAATTGTGAGAAAACTTGTAAGCAAAGCATTTAGCAGAGTGCCTAGCACACAGTACACATGTAGTAAAGACTGGATTTTTATCATCATCATCATCATCATCATTATCATCATTACTACTACATCAAATATCAGGCCAAATTGCTACCTACCCTACAGCTTCAGTTTATTTATTTGACAAATTATTGAGCATCAATTGGGTACCAGGCTCTGCTCTAGGAACTTGTGTGTAATAAAATAAGAATATTGGCTTTGTCCCTGCTGCCACCTACCAGGAAGACACTTCATCTGCTTGAAATTGGGCTTCCTCTTCAATCAAGAGGAACTAATCAGCACCAGGCCTAGGGAGAGGTATGGGAGACTCGTGCACAACCCTGAGTGTAAGTGCCTCCTTAAATTTTGTACCCTAGGTAACTTGCTTGCCTCATTCTTGTCCCAGCATCTGGGAATAATAATACCTATTTTACATAGTTATTATATGAATAATGGAAGTAGAGAGAGGATAGACTATATTTGCCTGGTATGGAAGTGGGATTTGGGAAGGCTTGTCTATTAATGGGATATTAGGCTGGGCCTTAAAGGATGAGAAGAAGTTTATTAGGTAGGCATTGGGTTGTTCCCTGTAGGTATATCAAGGGGTAAATGATGGGTTATGCTTGGAAATGACAACATGACTTGAAAGGAAATTATGACAAGAGCTAAGAGTTATTATTATTTACCACCTACTATGTGCAGGATATGGCTGGACATTTTGCAAATATTGTCTTTAATCCTCATAATGGCCTTAAAAGATTGGTATCATCTATCTTTATTTTACAGCATAGCCTCAAAGAGCTAAGCCCAAAAAGCCAAAGAGTACCAGAAAGAAGTCCTTTCTGTCTAAAAACACCTCTTCACTGATCCCCAAAATTCCATCATTAACACTTCACCCTTGAGATAAGCACTGTTGGAAATGTGGATGGGTCATATGATCAACTCCTTATATTTTTTGGTGAATGAGTTATCCATCCACTCATCTACCCATTCATCCATCCACCTATCCACCCATCCATCCATTGACACACTCATCCCTCCACCAATCCATCTATCCATCCATGCATCCACCCAATCATCCATCCACCCACCCATCTGTCCATCCATCCACCCACCCATCCATTCATCCATTCATCTATCCATCCATCCATCCATCCATCCATCCATCCATCCATCCATCCACCCATTCATTCACCCATCCATCCACCCACCTATCCATCCACCCATCCATTCATCCATCTACCCACCCATTCATCTATCCATCCATCCATCTATCCATCCTTCCATCCATCCACCCACCCATTCTTCTACCCATCCATTCACCTATCCACCCACCCAGCCACCCTTCCATCAATCCATCCATCCACCCACCCACCCACATGTTCATTTATCCATCCATCTACTCATTCATTCACCCACCCATTCACCCACCCATTCATCCATCTATCCATGCACCTACCCACCCATCCATCTGCTCTCCACCTACCCATTCACCCACCCATCTACCCATCCACTCATATACCAATTTAATAAGAGATATTGATCACCTACTAAGATTTAGTCTCTGGGCTGGGACTTTTCTCCATGACAAGAAGGACTCAGAAGCAAGAAAGTGTATGCCAAAAAAGAAAAGTGGGGCCATAAGAACAAATTTCACTTATTTGAAGTTTTGCCTCAGGAGATATCCACATTTATCACTTAGTAATCATTAAGTCACGACACAGCATGATGATGCCCATCCTTCCTGCTGGATAACTCTCCCTTCACAGCTAATTGCCTTACATCTATAGCCTAGTTCTTGTCAGTTTTGTCACACTGTTATTACATACAGTAATGGTGTGTAAGATATTAGCCTGTCATTATATATAAATGTGTCTAAGGAAAACTCATTTCCAAGAATCATTTTTGAAAATGAATCCAGAAGAGAGGTAAAAGCTTATTTTCTGTCTCCAAGGACAAATAAAGTAACTCTGAGGCTTGTAACAAGAATCATTTAAGGTGGATATTATACCTCATAGGAATACCAAAGCCAGAATACATTTTGGGATGTTATATAAAGCCCAGGAAAGAGTTAAGCTGGAAATAGGAAGCTACTTTCATCTTCTAACTGTGCATGCCTTGAGGGTATGAATAACCTAGCCCTTTCCCCACTTACCATTTTTCTATTTAGTTTATTATGGTTAATAACATGTGACCAGAAAATCATTTTTACCATTTTCCCTCTGGTGCCATTAAGTTTAATTTCCTTGTTTTAATAATACAGCACCAGCGACTTGTCTGACATTAGAACTTTTTTCTTCCAGTTATCTATTAAAGTAATACTTTAATTTATTACAAAATATACATTTCACACAACTCTTCCTACCCAGTTTGTGATATCCCTAAGGGCCGAGCACTATCTGTGTACCCAGTATTTTCCCAATTTGTTTCTGACAACTTTTACTGCTGAGATGTAAACTGTATGAAATCAGACACTGTGTGTCTTGTGGTGTCCCCAGAACAGTGCCTGCATGCGGCAGGTGTTCAAGAATATATATCAAACAACCAACAAAATGAACACCTTCTGCTTTTACCCTCTCACTTCTGACCATACACGAAATAGCCAAAATATTTTTCCACTTGAAGAGTTTGTCTACGAAATGGAAAAGACATGGATTCTAATTTAAATGTTGACTCACCCAGAAAATGGATCAACTTTAGCACACTTTTTAAACTTTAAATACAACAAGCATTTGTTAAAGTCCTGCTGGCTATCAGTGGAGAACTCTATTCAAGGTGCTAAGGGCAAAATAAAGGTGACCCAGACACTGTGCCTGCCCTGCAGGGGCTTAAAGTTTGGTACAAACCTGGCGATTACCCGCAGGGAGAACCTAGAGTGACCCCAACTCCCTCCAAATGCCTGGAGTACTCATTGGAGCCATGCATTTGGCATGTCCAGATGAAGATTCAACTTAATGGCTCTAGAGATGAATTGCCTGGGTTCAAGTCCTGACACAATCAAATACTAGCTCTGTGATTTTGGGCAACTTAGTTTTCTGCACCTCAGTTTCCCCATTTGTAAAATAAAAATAAAAATTGGACTAATCTCATAGCATTGTTGTGATGATTAAACGAGTTCCTCTATGTAAAATGTTTAGAACCATACCTGGTACAGTATAAGCATTCAATTAACATTAGCTAGTATTTAGTTTATTATGGCTACTCTGTGATAAATTGTATTTTGCATAGCTGTCTTGAGCTACTACTATTAATTTCCTATTTTATGTTTTTAAATAGAAATATCTTCATTGCTCTTAAGAACAGCAGTCCCCAATGTTTTTGGCACAAGGAACTGGTTTCGTGGAAGACAATTTTTCTGTGGACCAGGCAGAGCGGGGATAGTTTCTGGGTGAAACTGTTCTACCTCAGATAATTAGGCATTTGTTGGATTCTCACAAGGAGCATGCAACCTGGATCCCTCACATGCACAGTTCACAGTAGGGTTCACACTCCTACCAGAATCTAATGACACCGCCAGTACAGGTCTGCAGCCTGGAGGTTGGGGACCCCTGCTTTAGAATGATATGTGATTGTTATAGGATAAATTATGTAGAGAATGACAATATTTGTAATCTTAACCCCAAAGATAACCATGGTTCATAATTTGGCAAATCTCCTTCCACATAATAATTTGCCTATTTAAGAATGTGTAGAATATACCCAAAGGATTATAAATCATGCTGCTGTAAAGACACATGCACACGTATGTTTATTGCGGCACTATTCACAATAGCAAAGACTTGGAACCAACCCAAATGTCCAACAACGATAGAGTGGATTAAGAAAATGTGGCACATATACACCATGGAATACTATGCAGCCATAAAAAATGATGAGTTCATGTCCTTGGTAGGGACATGGATGAAACTGGAAACCATCATTCTCAGCAAACTATCGCAAGGACAAAAAACCAAACACCGCATGTTCTCACTCATAGGTGGGAATTGAACAATGAGAACACATGGACACAGGAAGGGGAACATCACACTCCGGGGACTGTTACGGGGTGGGGGGAGCGGGGAGGGATAGCATTAGGAGATATACCTAATGCTAAATGACGAGTTAATGGGTGCAGCATACCAACATAGCACATGTATACATATGTAACAAACCTGCACATTGTGCACATGTACCCTAAAACTTAAAGTATAATAATAATAATAAAAGAATGTGTAGATATATTTTCAACATAAAAACTACACATACTGTTCACAAACAGCCTATTAATATATGGAAATCACCTATCTGTGTCAATATGTAAAGATCTATTTTGTAATTTATATAACCATTACTTTATTGGTGGACATGTAGACCATTTACTGTTTATATAGTATTTAGAAAGATTGGGCTGCAGTGTCCAAGCTAAAGCATATGTTTCTCATAGGAATGTCATTGAATTCCCAAAGAGCTTTGCAAATACAAATGGCTGCATAAATATTTATTTATTGACCATGTTAGGAGAATGGGAAAAAAAGAAGAGATCTTTAAATGCAGAAAATTATATTTCTACAATTTTTTCTAAGCGTTCTAAAAATGATTTTGACTAGCATGATATAACTATTTTCAGGGTTGTTATGAAGACAAAATAAGGTATTATAAAATGTCTGAACCCTATAAAATACTCAATAGATGCTGGCTATTATTGCTATTAGAACAGCAATTAATGGGAGACGAGATTAGGCACCAGCTGTCTTTGATGACTTAATCATTGACCTACGGAAGGTGAAACAGATCATCTCTAGCAACAACCTTTGTCTCTAGGATTCTGTTCTTTAATGAGTAGATACTGTACTAAAGATAAACTCAAGCATGGAAATAAAAAGAGGATAACTGCTCGCCCTGATTCTTCCAACAACTGAAAATTATCCACATGATGCTTGTTAGCTAATAAGAAAGGTTAGAAATAGTGTTTATCAAAATTGCCTTTGCTATTTAATGACCTGTAGAGAGACTGGCACTTTCAACTAGTATTTTATTACCTCATTCAGCTTGCCCACGATAGAGAGAGATCAGTTAGGAAAGTGTGTAACTAACAATTGGACATGGAAGAGAGGCAGGAAAGATGATTATTGAATTAGACTCAATTTCTGCTTTTTATATCATAGTCTTTTTATTCAGAGTTTCTTAACCTTGGCATTATTAACATTTGGGGCTGGATATTTTTTTGTTGAGGAGGGCTCTCCTGTACATTATAGGAAGCTTAGCAGTACTATTAACCTTAGCAGCATTATTAAGCCAGCCAGTAGCACCTCTCCCTTCCCCCACATAAGTTTCGACACCCCAAAATGTCTCCGGACATTGCCAAATGCCCCCTGTGGGACAAAAGCACCCCCAAGAGCCACTGATACATGCATGTGCATATTTTTGTACAGCATTTTACACTTTGCAAACACATTTAATACTCATAATAGTTGTGTGAGTACGCAGGGTAGATATTCTCTCTCCCCCTTCCCATTTCAAAGATGGGAAAGCATAATAATGTAATAATAAATGTTGTGAAATCAAAATTTAAATTTTTAACCACTAAGATGCCATCGTGAGTCAGACAGGAAGAAGACCGATTTATTTTTTAAAGTATTTTAGTAAAATAAGCAGTCAAAGCTTTTCCCCTTTACTTGAAGACCAGAAAAGGAATACTCAGGCAGCCACCCTCAAAGAGGACCCCCTAAGCAAAACAAGTGTGAAATGCAGCCATGTAACTCAGAGTTAATTTGGGGTTGAATTCATTAGCTGTAAAAATAATGATGTGATGAAAAATTTGCCTGCCCCTGCAGAGATAGGAAATGGGATAGCATGTGAATAAATGATCCTAATAGCTGTGATGGTATATCTTTAGGAGGTATGAGCATTCCATCTATAGAGAAAGTCTGCCCATTAATTAAAATTCTTATGGAGAGACACAAAGAAGATTAAAGTAGATAAAAGCTGTAGCACCAACAGGCCTAAAAACCAGTGTCTTGGAAAATAAAGAAACTGCCTGAAGACAGGGAATTATAATCTAAAGATATTGAAAGAAGAGAGGTTTCTAAATGCCAAGAAAAGCTAGATTCCCAAGGAGATGGGAAATAAGATGAGTAACTGTAGGAAATCCACCAAGGTCATCAACTCTCAAGCTGAACCCTAAGTGACACAAGCAGACCTCTATTAATCTGCACCTGTCATTTCACTGATTGTGTAGATATCAACACAGCTGCTTATTTCTGCTTATTTCTGTTGAGGCTTTTTACTACACCAGAACTCAGGTTTGTAGACAGTGAAAATGTCAGCACATTAAAAACATTCTGCTTCACATGTGTGAGATAATAGGATTTGGGGTTAATGAGCTCATGTCTGGGATATCGATCCAAATGTGAATAATTTGTAATTGGCCATCACTCAATGCCAGCTTATAACCAGCCCAGGCTATATGAATGGAACACTTTGTTCACTGAAATGACTATAGAGCCACAAAAACCAAAACTTGCTCAAAGAACTGGCCAATTGCCAAACAGCATCTCCCCTCCTCTCTCTTCTTATTCCCTGACTTCCAATTAAATACTAAATTGCTAGGAGAATATAAGATAATACATAGGGCCCATCATAAATTCCTCACCCAGCAGGCCCCATATATAGAATGAAAAAGATGTGATTTAAGATATAACAAGAGGCCCCCCTTTCACCAGCAAGCATCACTTTGATTATTTTGCCATTGCAAACCCAGGTTTTGAAAGATTTTATCTCGAAATACTAAAGTTGCTATATTTAAAATATGGATGTTTTAAATAATGCCCCATCAAGCTCTAGTTTCCTACAATTCTATCTATGGTACCACTCTTTTGGATGAAGATACTTTCTTTTTGTTTCTGATTTGGATGACTTTTAAAAAAATTATTATACTTTAAGTTCTAGGGTACGTGTGCACAACATGCAGATTTGTCACATATGTATACATGTGCCATGTTGGTGTGCTGCACCCATTAACTCATCATTTACATTAGGTATCTCCTGATGCTATCCCTCCCCCGACCCCGACCCCACGACAGGCCCCCCTGAGTGATGTTCCCTGCCCTGTGTCCAAGTGTTCTCATCGTTCAATTCCCACCTATGAGTGAGAACATGCGGTGTTTGGTTTTCTGGCCTTGTGATAGTTTGCTCAGAATGATGGTTTCCAGCTTCATCCATATCCCTGCAAAGGACCTGAACTCATCCTTTTTTATGGTTGCATGGTATTCCATGGTGTATATGTGCCACATTTTCTTAATCCAGTCTATCATTGATGGACATTTGGGTTGGTTCCAAGTCTTTGCTATTGTGAATAGTGCCGCTATAAACATACATGTACATGTGTCTTTATAGTAGCATGATTTATAATCCTTTGGGTATATACCCAATAATGGGATCACCGGGTCAAATGGTATTTCTAGTTCTAGGTCCTTGAGGAATTGCCACACTGTCTTCCACAATGGTTGGACTAGTTTACACTCCCACCAATAGTGTGAAAGCATTCCTATTTCTCCACATCCTCTCCAGCCTCTGTTGTTTCCTGACTTTTTAATGATTGCCATTCTAACTGGCATGAGATGGTATCTCATTGTGGTTTTGATTTGCATTTCTCTGATGACCAGTAATTATGAGCATTTTTTCATGTGTTTGTTGGCTGCATAAATGTCTTCTTTTGAGAAGTGTCTATTCATATCCTTTGCCCACTTTTTGATGGGGTTGTTTTTTTCTTGTAAATTTGTTTAACTTCTTTGTACATTCTGGATATTAGCCCTTTGTCAGATGGGTAGATTGCAAAAATTTTCTCCCATTCTGTAGGTTGCCTATTCACTCTGATGGTAGTTTCTTTTGCTGTGCAGAAGCTCTTTAGTTTAATTAGATCCCATTTGTCTATTTTGGCTTTTGTTGCCATTGTCCTGAATGGTATTGCCTAGGTTTTCTTCTAGGGTTTTTATGGTTTTAGGTCTAACATTTAAGTCTTTAATCCATCTTGAATTAATTTTTATATAAGGTGTAAGGAAGGGATCCAGTTTCAGCCTTCTACATATGGCTAGCCAGTTTTCCCAGCACCATTTATTAAATAGGGAATCCTTTCTCCATTTCTTGTTTTTGTCAGGTTTGTCAAAGATCAGATGGTTGTAGATGTGTGGTGTTATTTCTGAGGACTCTGTTCTGTTCCATTGGTTTATCTGTCTGTTTTGGTACCAGTACCATGCTGTTTTGATTACTGTAGCCTTGTAGTAGAGTTTGAAGTCAGGTAGCGTGATGCCTCCAACTTTGTTCTTTTGGCTTAGCATTTTCTTGGCAATGCAGGCTCTTTTTTGGTTCCATATGAACTTTAAAGTAGTTTTTTCCAATTCTGTGAAGAAAGTCATTGGTAGTCTGATGGGGATGGCATTGAATCTACAAATTACCTTGGGCAGTATGACCATTTTCATGATACTGATTCTTCCTATCCATGAGCATGGAATGTTCTTCCATTTGTTTGTGTCCTCTTTTATTTCGTTGAGCAGTTCTCCTTGAAGAGGTCCTTGGATGAAGACACTTTCTAAGAATAGTATCTATAAGCCAAAGTATCCACGATTAGTAACATTGGCAATTTATTAGTTTAACTATCAAAGAACAGAGCCTCAAAGCCTCTGGCTACTAGGACTGGTAATTTAAGTGAAGGAAGACAAAATTCAGAGAAACATGAGATGTCAACTTTCACTCAGTGGAGGCTGGAACCGTTGGGGGCCCTGAGAAGCCAAGGGCAGCAGGTTGAGGAACAAAGTACGAAGGACAGAGGGCTGGTCTTGGCACTGGGCTTGAAAACTACATTTATGATGTATTCAATGTGTAATAATTGGGCAAGCCTCTTAAGCTCTCCGAGCTTCAGTCCCTATATCTGTGGGTAGACTAATGCCTACCTTAAAACTTACTAGGTGAATGAAACAGAGGATAAAGATACTTGTCACTTAGGAAGTACCCATTCTAAACTTACTTTCTCTACTTACTTTCTTTCCAGTGTGGCTCAAGTCAGCCCTGTACTGGATTGTAGAGTAATTACTATTAATCCTGAACTGTTAAAGGGTTCAGCATCTTAAAACTGAATGATTAAAAGAAAAGTGGTCAGAACACGTGTGAATATACAGCTATATTCATTCATGGTTTATACGAAACACTAAATATGCTAGATAAATCCCCATTTCTGCTGCTGAAGTCCTGAAGAATCAGAACTCTTGAAATCTTAGCTTCAAAAGTCACATTGCAGTCATGAGAATCAGACTAAACCAAAAAGCCCCATGAAGAGCTTGAAGCTGGGTTTGGATTCTTCCGCACAAAGATCAACACTAGGGGGAGACTCTATCCCTTCTCAGCTGAGAGTGATTTGGCAATCCCCTTGCTCGGTTACCACCCAGTGCTCTAGGAGAATTGCCTGAGTAATAACAAGTTCAATAATTGATGAATAGAGCTGGGCAGGCAGCAGATGCCACTGGAGGGATGTGATGAGTAAAACCCAACAAAATGACAAAAATTTATCTTCCCAAAGTCATTCAGAAAATCTTAAAAAGTTAAGATCAAGAAAGCCACAGCTCTTATTTCACTTGATGGATCAAGTATTCATCAATATATTTTTATAATTGTATTTTATTTTTTGGTAGAAAAGTTATATTTAACAATTAACTATATTAATGATAAGGTATTAATGATGGTACTGATAACAAAAGTAATTATAATGCCTGATGTGCACAAAGCTTTGTGCGTACTCTCTTTAAAAAAAATTATTTTAAAAATTCTTCCAACAATCCAGTCAGTAGGTATTATTACCTCCATTTTTCTGTTAGAAAATTTAAGGAATAGAGAGGTTAGATGACTTAAACATGGTTAAGACCACAGACTGCGCAATCGGACTGACTGGGTTCAAGGCTCAATTCTACCATTTACTAGCTGTGTAACCTGGCAAGTTAATTTACCTCTCCGTTCCTTATTTCCTTGTGTGTAAATGAGAGTAATAATAGTACCTACTGCCTTTGGTTGTTGGGAGAGTTAAATGAGTTACTACGTGTAAAATGCTTAGAGCTGTGCTTGACAAATCGTTAGCATTTGATGTGTTTAATTAGCCATTATGTGACCCAAAGACACATATTTATTATTTTATATATGAATTACTTAATTACGATTGTACTTGTGTCAGGCACTGTCTTAGACCTAGCAAAGAAAAGATTGTATGGTTTATGGGAAAGGCAGACATTATGTAATTTTCGTAGGGTGTGATGAGTTTTGCGGTGGAGGCAGTAGGCACCATGCAGTATGCAGGGCAGTAGGCAGGGTAGGGGCCAGGCACGGGATGGTAAGACCAGGGCCCAGAGGAGAAGCCAGCTGTATTTGAAACAGCAGCAGCAAAAAAAAAAAAAAAAAAATGATTCTCATCAACAACTCTGAAGCTATTTCCAAGGCTTATGGATGAAGGAGACTCTAAAAATTTTAATACCTAGTCTTAACTCAGAAACTTTCTGAGCAAATCATTTGACCCCTGGATTTCCATTTCCAGATATATAAAATGCTGATTTCTTAGGGTTACTCTAGGAAAGAGTGAAGATTACTGTATGGGCTTCCATTGCTTGTGAAGAATCTACAAAGGCATGAAAACCTGGTGGTGCGATTATCGATGGGTAACTACCTAATTAACCACACATCTTTTCTTAGAAGAGATTATGTCAAAGGAGCACATATAGAGGAAAACCCTCAGGGACTTTCATTACAGAACCCCAGAGCCAGAAAATATCTTCGGGTTCATTGTTTGGTGGCTTCCAAAGTTTTCACTACTACAGACACCTTTCACTGGTCTTCTATCATGAACTTTATGGTTTTAGAGATTTGAGCTACCATGTTGCCTACATTAAGTAATTTTGTTTATCCATTTTGATTCAGTAGAGAGCATTTCATTTGTGCAAGATGCAGGTTTTAACATCCTGAGCTGATATAATCCAACCAAAATAAAATAAAAATCTCCCATCACACACTTATTGGAACAAATTAGGAATATATAGAAAGGAATAGCTTCATCACCACTGTCCAGATTTTGACATATTTCCTTTCAATCTTTATTTTAAGTGCTGTCTTTCTTAAAATACCTAAGATTGTACTGCATGTCCTTAAGGCAATGAAAATGGGCATTTCTTGATGTGGTGCTGGAGGGGTATTGGGTATCATTTACCCTTCCCAAGCCTGGGTTGTGCTATGTGACCCCCTTCCCACACCCTGAGACCCCAGACTACCCTGTCAATACGCTTCTAACACTTCCATACGGTACTCAATTAATCTGTTGCTATCTAACAGATTAAATAGCTTTGATTCCCCCTTTATACTGTAAAACTGTGTCTTATTCATCTTGGTGTCACCAGCACTTTGCAACCTATCTGACATGTTGTACAAAGTTGATACTTTTTATGCTGTACTGAAATATATATATACATATATACTGTTATATATAAAAGTGTGTGTGTGTGTATGTGTGTGTGTGTGTGTGTCTAGAAATCTTGTAACTCTACCACTGCCTTTGCATATCACAGGAGGCTTGGTTTGGTTCTCTTCTTTCAGATTAAAACACTGAATACCAACGTGGTTGATGGACAGAGGATTCCATATATAAGACTGAGTGATTGCCAGAAAGCAACAGAGGACAGAGGCTGGCATATTCTGGAATTCCATCACTTTAAGATAACCACTATTTATATTTTAGTGGTACAGTAATATCACAATACTCTTTTATCCTGAGCAATTTTTTAAAATGTAGACTTTTTAAAATCCTCCTCCTTCCCTCTGTCATTGAGCATTCCTCTTTTTTACCAGACATTCCTCTGCTTCATCCTAACTCCAACATAACCAGGGTTAGTGGCCAGTACATATCCTTTCATGACATTTTCCATGTTGTCAGAATCATAAACAAACATAAACAAACATGGAGTAGGGTTGTCATTTTCTGATTTTCAAAAATAGGCTCATGCTATATATATACTTCCCTAGATCTTGCTTTTTGCCCTTAACAATACATTGCAGAAATATGTCTGAGTCAGCTGGTTTTGATCTACCTCCTGTGAAGTGGGTCCCATGGTCAGATGCTATGCTGTATGGGATTCCACACCTGCAGATCAGGCATTTGGCAAGCTCCTGGGTGAGTTTTGGCTGAGGCTTTGCAGAAAGGAAAGGCAAACTAACACCGAGAATCAGTATCTGTCCTGTGAGGTCAAACCACTGGCCCTTCCAGGATGGACGTGACCCTTTGTAGCTGAGCTGCTACCAAGATGCTGGTGGTGTCCTTGAGAAACAGTGTCCATCCTTTTCCCCAGTCCTCTGACCAGCCAGCTGGGTCACTGGCCCCAGCCCAGATTTCTAAGAGCGACCCTAGCAGCAAGTTTGCCCCATCCCCTGGGGTCCTCGCCGGCGTTAAACCCCATGTACTGAGAAAGTTCCCTAAAGTCAGTGAATTCTTGCTTATCCAGTTGTATGTTCTGCCTCCTTGATTAAGCCTCATCAAAATTTATTCCCCAGTGTACCTCCCTGGCTCCTGCCAGTAAGTGCTATTTAATCTTTGAAGCTCCTTTGAGGTGTAATCTCTTTCCTCCCTTATCAGTCCTAGCACATTCCTAGCTCAACTCTGCTGGGAGTTAACCCTAGTTATCATAGAGGCATTCAGGAGAGGCAGTAGAGGCAGCTCCTTAGAGGAACACCTGTTGCTTTGTGGAGGAAGGCCACAGCAGTCTTCCCACATGAGGGAAGGGCTAGCTTTTCATCGAGAGGGTTGGGCTCAGAGTGTTGTGGGTTCAGAAGAGTCCACACAGCTACAGTCCTTGCAGGCAACCACCCAGATGTCCCCATCCCATATTTCAGGATCCTAAGCTTTCCCAACCAGAGCCCTGATCTTAACAGTACAGACCTGACTTGTTGAGAATTTACAGGTCTCTGGAGCTCCTGGATTCTAACTACTAAGTCCTACACTTGCTCCTCGGCTACATCCATGCTTCCACTGCAGGAGATTAGGGCCTCTTACTAAACTCCCAAAGAGGCCTTACAGAGGGGCTCTCCAGCTCCCACATTCAGCCTATAGATGTTCACTCATAGCCCTCAGCTTCTCATTATCTCCCTGCAGAGCATTAATACAACCTCTAAACATCAACTAACATCACTGCCAACATCACTGCATTTGTTCCTCCCCATTGCATTTAAAATATCTGAATCATCAAGGGCATTTCCATCTACCCAGGTCACCACTGGTTAAATTTTTAGCAATTGAACTGCACTTTATATCAGGGATTATCCATGTCTACATAATACGTGGCATATTAGGCAGAGTAGAATAATGCCCCTCCTTCCCCACAAGATGTCTCTGTCCTAGTCACCAGAACCTGTGAATATGTTTACTTACATGGCAAATGGGACTTTGCAGATGTGAATAAGCTAAGGGTCTTGAGATGGGAAGGCTATTCTGAACTGTCTGGGTGGGCCCAGTGTGATCACAAGAGTCCTTATAAGTGAAAAAGGGAGATAAAAGTCAGAGCTGGGAGAAATTTGAAGATGTATGCTACTGGCTTTGAAGAACGGTCTATAAACCAAGGAACGCTGGCCTCTAGAAGCTGGAAAGTGCAAGGAAACAGATTCTCCCTGAGAGCCTCCAGAGGGACACAGCCCTGCTGACATCTTGATTTTAGCCCAATGAGACCCATTTTGGACTTTTGTCTTCCAGAACTTTAAGATAATAAATACATGCTGTTTTAAGCCACTAATTTGTTACAGCAGCAATAGGAAACTAATACTCATGGGGTGGGGTGCTCCTTGCCACCAGCGAATTATCCAACCCCCAACCCATCCTACTGCCTTCGTCCTCAGACCACTCCTGGTACCAGTTGTGTGTCTGGGTCCTCTGAGAAGCAGTCACCAAGTTGGAATGCAACTGGCAAATGATTATTGGAGGAAATACTTATGAAGCATAAAATGAAAACAGACAGGAGTAAGCAGACAGAGTCTTCAGGTTGTGATGCAAGTCTGACAACTGGGAAAGGAGAGAGGGAAAGAAGGACTGGATAGGAGAAGGTAGCTCGGAGAAAGTCTCAGCCAGATCACTCAAGGTACCAGAATAAAGATTGTCCCGTCCAGACAGGGTGGTCTCAGCCTGAGTGCTGTGGCATGTGTAAATGTTTAATGGCTGGAGGCTGTCAACCAGATATAATTTGCACAGCAAGTTTTCTCGAAGGAGATCTGAGGAGCCCATCTCCGCAGTAGCCATACTAACCCACCTCCTACCCAGGCCCAGGCAGTGCTAATTAACCAGAGGCCCGCTACAGGGGCAGACCCATAGCCACTGAGCTTATTGGCCAAGAAAATATCAGCGTTCATGCTCTCTGCAGGTAAGTAGATCCCAGAAGTAGGAAAGGACAGGCTGAGCAACACATGTCTAAGTCCCGATCCTCAAATTTACCGATCAGATAATTCACTTAGGGAAATGAAGAGAAGTCAGGATTGTTCTCCAAACAGAGCTCTCTTTACATGGAAAAAAATGTTAGAAGAGGAAAATAATGTCCTATTCTATCAGATTATTGGAAAAAATTTTAGTAGATATTAGATATTGCCAGATTGCTTTCCAAAAAAGTTAAAGCATTTTACACATCCACCAGCAATGCTGAGAGGATCTTCTTCTCCTATGTCCATACAGCATTAGGCATTATCACTCTTTTTGATTTCTGCCATTCTGAATACTTCATTTTTATTTAACCTACATTTGCTTAACTACTGGGAAAATAGAACATTGCTATGATTTGAATGTGAGTCATAAAGTTCATATGTTGGAAACCTAATTTCCAATGCAACAGAGTTGTAAGGTGGAGCCTTTAGGAGGTGATTAGGTCATGAGGGCTCTGCCCTCATTGACGAATTAATGCCATTATCACAAGAGTGAGTTCCTAATCAAAGGGAAAATTCCACCCCCTTTTACTCTCTGTCTCTCTCTCTCCCCCTTTCTTTGCGATGCCTCCTTTTGCCACCGGAGGAAAGCCCTCACCAGGTGCTGGTGCCTTGATCTTGGATTTCTCAGCCTCCAGAACAGCAGAACTGTGAGAAATAAATTTCTTTTCTTTATAGGTTATCCAGTCTCTTTTATTGTGGTTAGAGCAGCACAAAACAGACTAAGACAAATATCTTTTTGTATGGCGTTTGCTTTCACAGTTGTATGACCTGTCCATCCACAAGCTTGGTTTACTGACTTGTTTGGGTTTCTTTTGTTAATGTGTTTGTAGAAGTTGTGTATATATTATAGATACTAACCTCTTATTTACTATATGCATTGCAAATATTTTTAAAACAGTTTTTGGCCCATTTTTTGATATCTATTATCAGACAAAACAAGCTCTCATAAAGTCAAATATCTTTTCTTTTATAGTTTTTGGATTCCCCATCTTTGTCTTCATGATCTCCCTGTCGCCACATTTTCAATATAGTCTCCTAAATTTTATTCTAAGATTTTAACTAACTTATTTGTTCATTTACTATTTCATTCAACTGAAATTTATTTTTGTAGTATTGTTTCTTGTTACAAAATAATACATGTTTCTTGTAGACAGTTTAGGAAACTTCAGATGCTGAACAAGAAAAAAATTTAAAATTAGTCTTAATTCCCCACCTTCTTAATATGGAGCCCCTGTGAATGTCTCCAGCTATATCCTTCCAGGCTTTTCTTCTATGCATTGTACATTGTCTTACATTTTTAAAATTATATTATAAATTCTGTTATATAGCCTGCTTTTGTCTAACAATACACTCAGAACAATTTTTCAAATGTACCCTCATTTGTTTAATCACACCTCTATTTTTGGACACTTACATTGTTTTTCACTTTTTGCTATGATAGATAATGTGTCATGATGCTGCCTCTCATTTGTTCGACTATATTTTGCCCTGTGTTAAAGAGCTCACTCATTTTCAAATATGTTTTTTCAATTTTACTAGCATCTAAAATTACTTGTTTAAAAATCGGGTAAGGAGAGGGAAAGAAGGTCCTTTTTTTTTTTTTTCTGGGTCACTGTATTGAGCTATACCTAAATTAAATAGGGGACTTGGAACTATTTTTACAAAAAACTAAGTCTGTAGAATGCAATTGATAGGCCTAGACATTATGTTTCTAAAACGCATCATCTAGAAAAAGTTCAGAATTGAAGAATTCTGAAGTTAAAAAACATAAGCAATAAACATAGCATGAGGAAAATCACCAGGCGGAAGTATCAGAAAATCCTAAAGCACCAGCAGTCAGATAAAGGATTAACAGGGTAACAATGCCAGTTCTCTTAATACCACCACCGCCTACACACCAAGAAGCCACTCCTAGTTCTTTTGGAAAGAGACAGATATAAATCAATAAATCATTCCATTTCAGGACTTTACTAGAATTTCAAGACAAATAACTGAGAGGCAGAAATACTAAGAATCTGGGAAGGAAGGAAAAAGAAACAAACAAACCATGAGTAAAGAGCCTATTTTTTATTAAAGTATAATTTAAAAATAAATATGAATATTCAAAAAATAATCTACATGAAGCAAAAGTATCTACACTCATCTGCTATGAAACCTATTTCTAGTTGACTTTAAAATTCATTGTGATTTTAGAGTTTCTCTGCCCTTGCTCTCTTCCATGTTTAACCATATCCCAAACAAGACAAGAAAAGAAATACTATTGAACTGTACACAACAAACCATGGAATGTGAAGTTAGATGGGAGTTTAGAGCTCAGCTGGTCTGGCCCCAGTATTTTACCATTGGGAAAGCCGAGGTCAGGAAAATGGAAGTAACTTGCTGAAGGTCATACAGCTGGTTACCTGCTAAGCCAGGAGTGGAAATGCATCTCTTGCCTCTTAGCACAGTGCTCCTGCTACCAGTATCACACATCAACAACGTAATCACACCCATTCTGGTGCCTTATTATCATCAGTTATCCATCAAATTAGGAAGGCAACAAGAGGAAATTTACATATATATGTGTAAAAACAATTATTTGAGCACTGATATCAGTTCTTTCACTGTTCTTTGGCCTTTGATGTTCACATGTGAAGCTTTCTGGAAAGGAAAGACCAGACCTGCATGATAAGATAAGCCTGGATGACAGTGGGGCCTACTCCACAGAACAGGTGTCCTCAAGCATCACTACTGCTTCCAATGTTGAATAAGAACAGCCCAATCTTCCTGGCTCTTTTTGTTCAATTCATGGTCCCTGGCACAGAAGGCTCTTCCCTTAAACATTTTTCCTCTGTGGGGATTTTATAGTTAAGAGCTAAGTGGAAAATGTTCAAAATGATCAGATCTAACACACTTCTTATTAGCAAATTTAAAATGCATATTATTAAACAAGGACATTCTTGACTTGATATTTTTAAGTTCACGTTTTTAAAAAATTGAGGAAAAAAGTAGGTGTAGCCTAGAGCAAAAATTCTTGACTTTTCTCCAACACAACCATGTCCCATCTGTAACAGTCACAACAGGCTGTGATTTCTGTACATAACCTGGCTTACTAGATATAACTTTACCCTTTCTACTCTACTACCACTGATAAAACATCATAAATAGTATCATATTTGGATATTTTAAGATAAAATCTGATGCAAGAGTCAGGCTCCTCTTTAATCCAGAGCTGAAAGCTGTCTTATATGAATAATATGTATGTATTTTTACTACTACTAAGGGCAAAAATGGCCAAAATTATTCTACTTGTGAATTAACTACATGCAATTGTAGTTACTTTAATAATAATCATAGTTAACTAGAAGAAATATTTTTAAAATGCTTAGTACAGAGCCTGGCATACATAATGCTCAATAAATTTTAGATGACACTATTGTTGATGTCATTGAAAACAACTACCAAGTACCAATTGCATGTAAATATTTTACAAGCAGGATAATCTGTACCCACAAAAACAGAACTCCCATGTAGCAGGTGCCTCTGGTGCTCTTGTCACACGTCCTTGGCTTACTTCTGATATCAGCCATGGCTGTAGTAGACAGTTCCGTGCAATCAACTCTCCCACCTCACGCTACACCTTGGATGTGTGTCTTACCACATTCTGCTCTGTGTCAGAGAGCTTACTCACTGGGACATGAAGAGCTGAGCCTAGAAGTGCAGGGGAGGTAAAGCTTAGTGGGGAAACCCTCACTCAATGAGGGGCAACAGCCACTGGCTTGCAGGAGGACAATTCTAGGAAGCATTCTGTGTGTTTCTCAAGAGGTCTCAGCAGAATTGTCTTCCCCACATTGCTCCTAGCAGGTGACTTCTTCTTCCCCAACTCACACCCCTGGCTCCCTCACTCCTGCCTCTAGAATCACCTCCCAAACTAACCAGCTGCACCCAACTCCTTGTCTCAGGCTCTGCTTTGCACGGAATATGAATTAAGGGATTCCACTTCCTAAGTCTAGGTGATTTCCAGAAATATAAACTACAGTGCTTTCAGTGGGTGGTCCTCAACACAAAGCAACATCAGATTATTTTTGTTTTGCATTAAAAATATTTGAAATGGAAGAGAGAACATTATCAGCCAAGACCTTTCTGTAAAATAGAGTTCATAATATCTTATTGTGGAAACCCCTTAAAATGTTGTGGAAAATAATTGTGTAAAGAATTGAGGGAGAGCAGAGGAAACAGGAGAGAAAACCCAAGACCTGCAGCAACTTTGATCATTATTCCCACGTTCTGCATTGATGAGTCAGGTGATGACTGGCTCCTGTTCAGCTCTCTCTGATGCCGGCATTCGAGAGCATTTACTGCATAACTACTTGGATGTATAATCAATTCAAGCCTGAGCTCTTTGGCTGAATGGGATATTGGCAAAGTTCCATAGGCTAATGGATAATTTGTAGGGACCCTATCATGGGCATTTGGCTGCATGTCCAATGATGTGGGGGTAACAGCCAGCATTGGTTAGAACATTTAAGGCCCTTAACAATTGTTGTGAGTGACACAACAAAACCAGAATATCATAAAACCCTAAAGAGATCAAGTGACTAAGGGAAAACACTCAAGTCTTTTCATGTAATTGCCTTGAGAGTACTGACCATATAAAATTTAATTCAATAGGTACATTTAGAGCACAACAATAAATAGCTATAGAGCAGTTTTACATCTGTTACCTCATTTGAGCCTAACATAACCTCTAAGATAGGTTATTATTTATTCTCTCCACTTCACAGATAATGCAACTGAGACTCAAAGACGTGATTAACCCTAGGAAAGTGCTCCACAAAAGATGATGAAATTGATGGCTTAGATGAAGTTAGGCCTCAAACACGAATGCAGATCTTTGCATTCCCAATTATTTGCTCTTTTCCCTACTTTCTGCTGCCTGGTTGGACAGCATCAGGTGCCACCTCCAATATGAAATGCAAATGAATAGGACTGGTTCTCCTGCTTAAGGACTCTTTTTTTGAGTCGGAGTCTCACTCTGTCGCCCAGGCTGGTGTGGAGTGGTACGATCTCGGCTCACTGCAACATCTGCCTCCCAGGTTCAAGCAATTCTCCTACCTCAGCCTCCCAAGTAGCTGGGACTACAGGCATCTGCCACCACTCCTGGCTAATTTTTTGTATTTTTAGTAGAGGTGAGGTTTCACCGTGTTGGCCAGGTTGGTCTTGAACTCCCGACCTCAAATGATCCACCCACCTTGGCCTCCCAAAGTGCTGGTATTACAGGCGTAAGCCACCGCACCCAGCCCTTAAGGACTTTTATAAAGCCTACTGGGGAGTAAGAACAGTGCTGTTGATGAAGTAAATAGACCCCATGTCATATGAAGTTACAAAAGAGAGATGAGTACTGGCTTGTCTCCTTAGGGGAGGCTGTCTAAAGCAGGCGGCAATAGAGCTGGGCTTTGAGGGATAGTCCAGATTTTCACGTGGTGAGAGAAAGAAACTGGAAACATTGCGCAGGGGCCATGCTAATCTTCTCTGTATCGTTCCAATTTTAGTATATGTGCTGCCGAAGCGAGCACATGAAACTGGAAACATTGCAACCAGTTAGGAGGACACTCAAGAGAGGATAGCTTTGGATTATGAAAATCTCACCAGTCTTGGTGACTTGTTAACTACTTAATATTCTTTAATTTCCATGAAATAATGTTTTATAGACTACAATTTTTCTAAGTTCTGTACTTAAGTCACTTCTTGATAGTAAGGACCAATTAGGTCAGTTCAACGGTTTTCCAATATTTTTGAGCTGTGGAACCAGAATCTTACATGGAAGTCAAATATATATATAAAGAGAAGCTGTTTCGGTTGAAGCAGAGGTGGATGGAGGTAATCAGAGACCAACGGAAAGGAGGTCATTCACACAAGGTGAGCCCTTATCAGCCCCATCCTGCTATTTTAAACATGATGCACATTTTGATAAGGGCCAGTCAGGAAAACAAAAACTACCTCAGTTATTTTAACAGGGAAAAAAAGATATAAAGAATTAGTTGGATGAGGCATGGTGGCGCATGCCTATAATCCGAGAACTTTGAGTGGCTGAACCAGGCAGGTTGCTTGAGCCCAGGAGTTTGAAATCACCCTGGGCAACATGGCAAGACCCTATCGCTACAAAATGTACAAAAATTAGCCAGATGTGGTATTGCCCACCTGTAGTCCCAGCTACTACTCGGGAGACTGAGATGGGAGGATGGCTTAAACCCAGGAGGTCGAGGCTACACAGAGCTGTGATCACACCACCACACTCCAGCCTGGGTGACAGAGCAAAATCCTGTCTCAAAGAAAAAAAAAAAAAAAGGAATTAGTCAGAAAATCGTTGGAGGACTGAAAAGGCAAGAAGAGAACACCAAAATAACACACAGAAAAGGTAGCTTCTCCCTATAGGGCTGGCGAAACAAAATGAAAGAGGTGGGGTTATTAAAACTTAAGAGGTCGGAAGAAGTATCCTACTGAGCTTATACTCAGACCTCAGGAAAAAAGACCCTTCCCAGCTCTTATGGGAATGATGAGACAAATTTTGGTCTAACTGATGGGAAAAAAAGTTGTAAACTAGAGCAAACTGCCACTGACAAGATGAAGGGCTAATGCTGGAGTGATGCAGGTGGTAACAATGAATAAACAGGAAGGATCAGTCCCCCTTTCTTCCTCCTGCCTTCCAGTTCCATTGGTGGAACTTCATGGGATCCAGCTGGCAAAGGAGAAAGGTGGTCTTCAGGCCCAGCCCCAGCAACACAGAGCAGAGTGGCGGGAGGTGGAGCTGAGACACAATCGCTTTATGACCAACACAGTGCCTCAGACCACAAGAAGGAGCAAACAAGACAGTAAGGGGGCTGTGCCCCAAATGTTCCTGATTTGGGGGGAAATCAGAGTTTATATCCTACAGATAGCAGATCAGTTGTTCTGTCTCTGAAGGACAAGGTGATGGTATGTTAAATGGTGTATGAACCACACATTGGTATGTACAGCCTACTAGCAGGAAGGGACCAGATCAATGGAGTGAAGAAACAAAGTAGATCTTCAAATTCTGAAATAACCTCTTTTGCCATATTTTCTGGACCAGGATTTATAATTAAATGATGACTTATTCTCTTTTTTTACGTATGTTCTTTCTTTTCAAATTCATTTTCTCTTCTGCAGCATACTTGGATAAAGTCAATGCATCAGAAAGGCTAAGTCAAGTGATAGAGCCACTAACTGCAAATACATTAAATGTATGCAGCATGTATCATTTTCCCTGTCTATGAGATGGTGATACTAAGGGATTATATATAGAAATGAAGATTCTCTCATTAGCAATTATCATTCATTCATTCATTTAACAAATATATTTTAATGTTTGTTATATATCAGGCACTGTTTTAGGGGTAGGGGTTCAAACACTGAATACATAATAATAGACAAAACACCCATATTAGTTAGGAATATTAGTATGACACTAAGTAATGGAAAATCCCACTCCAGTGGCTTTACCAAAGAGAGTTTTATAATTTTGGCCTAATGAGAAATCATGAGGGAGGCAGCCAAGATTGGCAGGGTAGGCTGTGATGCCATCAAGGACCCAGCTTCTCTCTGTCTGTTTACCCTCCTTAAAGGGCTGATTTTTATACGCACACTTGTCCTTTCATGATCACAAGATAACTATTCCACTGTGAGAAATTATATCTGCATACCAAACAAGCAAAAGAAAACAGAGAAGGAAGAGGCAATGCCCGTGTTAGGAAAGTAAAGGCTTTATAGAAATCACCAACAGACTTCTGCTCATATGTCATTGACCAGAGCTACATCACGTGGCCACCCCTCACTGGAAACCAGAATGGGAGGGTGAACATTTTTAGCTGGGCATATTTCTATCCTAAGTAAAATCAGGAATCTGTTAGTAAAGAAGAAATGATACTGGCTAGTTGTCTAGCAGTCTCTGCCACACTGCCTGTGTCATGGTGCTTATATTCCAGTGTAGCAGATTGTATCACTGGGGCTCTTTGGTTGCAGCAACTGCAGCCAAGAGGAGTGGAATTTGTTGGAAAGATGTAAACCAGCTCATAGAAGCAAAGAGAAGTTGGAGAGCCAGGTCATAGAAGAACAGGAACTAGGGCAGCCTGTGAGACTAGGCACCCAGTGGCAGTGGTCTGATAAATAAGTCCCAAATACAGAAGTTGTCCAAAGTCAGGAGAGAAGTCCAGCTCCTGGCTGGAGTCCTAGCAGTCCCACCACTCTGCACCCAGTGGGAGAGGTGATATCCCCATAAGGAAGTCAAGGAGCACTGACCAAGGAAAGAGGCAAGGGTGTAGAGCAGCCCAACAGGTCCAGAACATTGACCAAGGGGCTGATATTGGTGAAATGATTTAAGTTTCCCATATAACAAGTTCTCAAGTGCTATTAAACACTGTTAAGATCCTTAATATTATAACTCAACCTTAAAAACACATCTTTGCTCCAATTCTTTAATGCCTCAGAAAAATCCAATTTTCACTTTTCTAAACTGAATCAGAACTGCAAAAAATAGTTTACACCAGAAAAACAGACTGCAAAAGATTGGATGGTTTTGTTATTAAGACTGTCTCCTAGTTACATTTTATATATAGATTCTTCAGAATGTAGGTTAGGGAGCTATTAAAAAATTAAATAAGAGAAGAGCATCGCTTCTGCTATTTGACTTGAAGATGTTCACAGCGGGGCAACATAAAATCAGATTTTTATAGTGTTGCCTGAAAATAATACTATATACTGAACTAGGAGCCTATAGGCAGATCAGGCCATTAAGGACTATTACCCATATTATTACTGCTAAAATATTCATATGTTATAATTTTGTAATAAGGTATTTACAAAGAAAATAATGTTGGCTTAAAATGCACATATCAGTAAAGGCATTCCAGCTTAGTGTTGTTTGAAGATTTCTGCAGGAGCAAAAGCCAAAAACAACAAATGACTATTTTAAGTTTAGATTATGTCCCGCTAATTGCCTATTTTTTTTGACCCTTGGAAACATTTATAGCAAATGAAGCAATAAAATTAAGCAGAGTAAAATTTGTTAAAAAGAGAAAATTGATATAGGCCCAGGTGCCATTGTTACTCATATTCTTTTCCTGTAATAGATTTATTTCAATTTCTAAGCAGTTTTGAGTCTTCATTGGTTTATTCAAAAAATATTTAGTGAATCTGTCTACTAGGGCAGATGGTACTCCTTGCCTATTCAGTATTCATTCTCCTTTTACTCCTAACTAATATAATCCCATCTCTTTCAAGATGTCAGCACGTTCTACAAAAATAATAACTTCCAAGACTCACTTGCAGCCAAGGGTTACCATCTTACTAGGGCTAGATAATGAGAGATAAAGAAAAGAGTTTTTGTTTTTTGCTTTTTGTTTTAAGTAGGAGAAATTTATCTGGCAGTATCTTTAAACTTTCTGTTTGGAATGCAGATGCAATTCCTGGAACTGTGGCAGCCATCTTGTAACCATGAGGATACAGTCAATAACGAGATGGATCATTGAGCTTTGATGACATTTTAGAGACACTATACCACCACTGGACTGCTTGTCTTCAGACATTTTCCTATGTGATTAAAAAAAAAAATCAGCTGGGCGCAGTGGTTCACGCCTGTAATCCCAGCACTTTGGGAGGCCAAGGAGGATGGATCACAAGGTCAGGAGATAGAGACCATCCTGGCTAACACAGTGAAACCCGTCTTTACTAAAACACACAAAAAAATTAGCCAGGCGCAGTGGCGGGCACCTGTAGTCCCAGCTACTCGGGAAGCTGGGACAGGAGAATGGCATGAACCCGGGAGGCAGAGCTTTCAGTGAGCCGAGATTGCGCCACTGCACTCCAGCCTGGGTGACACAGTGAGACTCCATCTCAAAAAAAAAAAAAAAAAATCTCCATTTGGTTCAGCTATTGCAATCAGGTTCTGTTATTTGCAACCAAATGCATTACTAACTGGCATATGTGCCATGTACCTGGTACTATGTCAGACCCAGTGAACAAGATATGCAGTGAACAAGATCCCTCAGGGACTTTACTATTAAATGGGAGAAATATTAAATAAATAATTATAAAATTAATGATTTAATTACAATTTCTATGAAGGTTATTGCTAGGGCATCCAAATTAGCCTGAATGAAGATGGTGGTTAGAGGAGATATTTGGAAGTAAATGACATACAAATTGAGATTTGGAGGATAACTAGGAGTTAACTGGGCAGTGACAGTTGGAGAGAAAATTCCAAGGGGGAAGAACAGTCCCTGTGAGTAAAACATACAGACTAAGGAGAATGATACTTCGTGAGGCTAGAGCAGAAGTCAGATACAAAAAATGCAAGGCCAAGGGAAGGAGGGAAAAAAAAATGCGGGGCCTTTTGGCCATGGCAAGAAACTCAGACCGTAGAGCAATGGAAAGTCTTTGGCCTATGTAATCAGATTCCAATTGTGAAAAGATAATTCTGATTGCATTATGAAGGAACTGGAGGGAAGCAAGAGTGGACATGGGGAGTAAGAAGTTGATTGAAATAGACTAGATCAGGCGTACGCAAAATACTGACCAAGGACCTGCCTTCATAATTAAAATTGTTTGGAACTCAGTCATGCCCATTCATTTACATATAGTCTACTGCTGTTTCTATGCTACAACGGCAGAGTTAAGCAGTTGCCTCAGAGACCATATGGCCTGTAGAGTCTAAATTATCTACTATCTGGCCCTTTATAAAACAAGTTTGCCAACCCCTGCTCTAGATGGAAGATGATGAAAGAAGATGATGGTTTGGACTAGTGCCATGAAGCTGTAGAAGAGTGGACAGATTTGAGATGTATTTGAGACTTGCTGAGGGGTTAAATTTGGGAGTTGAAGGAGAGAAAGAGATGAACAATGACTTTCAAACATAAGCAACAGAAAAGATTTTTAAAAAGCAGGTTTGGGAGATAACGTTCAAGTGTTCTGTCTCGGCTGCTTGAGTTTAAATATCTTAAAGAAAGAGATTATTAATACCATGGCCTCTCTCTTGAATACGAGAAGCCTATAATATGGGAACTTTCCCTGAATTCCATATTGTAATCAGTTCTGTGCTATGACAATCACACTGTGACATATTGATTTTTACATACAGAAAGTCCTCCTAAATAAATAATTCAATTCAGTCCATTTTAATAAAAAAGCAAAAGTTAAAAGAGATAAAGACAAATGGATGATAATAAAAGTTTTCTGATGGTTTGAGAAAGAGCATCTGGTCCTTTAACAGTAAGTATATCCAATAATGATACGCTTTCAAAATTTATTTTTCATGCTATCACATTTCCCCAGTATTTTCTTGCCACTAACTATAATCAAATTGATCTCATAAAAATAACAAATTCATGGGCCTGTTGCAGTTAAGATATAACTTATTGAGAAACAATGAAGAGCTTTTGGGGTTACATTTTATTAAACCCATCTTTACCCTTCCAAATAGAATGACTGTATTTCTCTGTCAAAATCTGGGACACAAGGTTAACAACTGGAAACAAAATTTTAATTGTGGAAGTCCCAGAAAATATCAAACATATGACTGTCATATATTTCTATGCAAGATCCTAAGGCATGGGAAACTCATCCAAACTTTATTCATGACCCGTAAAAGGCGAAGCTTCAAGTACAGAAAGGAACATAATGGACCATCATGGAAAATGATGCAGCCCAACATTTGAAATAAGATACCTTGGTGCTGGTCTTCAAATTTTATAAGTATTTAGCAACATGGATATGAAATATTCTTGATGAGACCTCCTACGGAGACTATTAGAGAGGAAAAAAAGCAAGACTTCCAAAATGTAAATATGCAGGATAATATTTGACCTGCACTCTTTTTGCTTAGAACTATATGTCACAACTGTTAAACCAGTTTGGAAAGCTGCAGGAATCTTTTGAATGCTACCTCACAATTTTTCATTGTCGTGGAATTGTGCTTATCCCAGTAAGTGGTTTTTTGGCAAAACATGCTGGAAATTTTCCTTGTACTTAAGGATAAAACTATTTTTTCGAGATGCACACATTAAGATATGGGGACAAAAATATCCAAGGTAGAGAATGTAGGATTTATATGTTTAATGAAATGTGAAAATTGAAAAAGACAAACATTTCTTCTGGAGATGGCCTTAACCATTTACAAATTGATTAACTTAAAATTATTCAAACCAGCATTCTTTTATTCCTTGATAGGTAAATTTCATAGGTAATTCCTTTTTTAAATTACTATTTTCAAGCAGAGTAGAATTTTCCCTATATGAAACTTGGAATTCCTGGCCAAACAGTGTTGAGCTAATGCTCAGAAAGTAATTTCTTTCTTCCCTCCTGAATCCACCTGCTCAGGAGCATAAGCCCAGCTCCAGGTGGGATAGTGTTTGGAGGGGAAGCTGGAGCAGAAAAGAGTTTGGAACTGCCATGTGGAGCTGGTTTTGATGCTTTTGTAATTTCATTCACACACGTTTCCTTCCTTCCTTCCTTCCTTCCTTCCTTCCTTCCTTCCTTCCTTCCTTCCTTCCTTCCTTCCTTCCTCCCTCCCTCCCTCCTCTCTTCCTTCCTTCCTTCCTCTCTTACTTTCTCTCTTTGTTTCTGTCTCTCTTTCTTTTCTCTCACTCTGTCATCCAGGCTGAAATGCAGTGGCGTGATCACAGCTCACTGCAGCCTCTGCTTCCTGGGCTCAAACGATTCTCCCACCTGAGCCTCCAAAGTCGCTGGGACTACAGGCTTGCACCACCATGCCCAGCTAATTTTTGTATTATTTTTAGAGATGGGATTTCACCCTGTTGCCCAGGTTGGTCTCGAAATCCTGGCCTCAAGCTATTTGCCTGCCTCAGCCTCCCAAAGTGCTGGGATTACAGGCATGAGGCACTGCTCCTGGCCTACACACATTTTCTTTAGGAGATCTGTAAGGTGTTATTTTACAAGGTGAAGTATAATTGACAAACAATAAAATTCATCTTTCAAAATATACAGTTCTATGTATTTTGTGACGTTTATACAGCATCTCACAATCAAGGTAGAGAATATTTTCATCATCTTAAAAGGTTCTTCATGTCCTACCTCTATTCTAGTTCTGGAAACCTGCAACCATAGATCTGATTTCTAGTTCCGCCTTTTCCAGAATGTCATATAAAGGGCATTGTACAGATGTAGCCTTTTGAATCTGACTTCTTTCACTTGGCAAAATGCTTAATTCAGCAATGTTGTGAACATATTTAGTTTATTCATTTTTTATTGATGTATAGTGTTCCATTATGTTTATATGGATGTACCACAATTCATTTATCCATTCAGTATTTGGTTGTTTGGTTGTTTGGTTTTTTCTAGTTTTGGGTAACTATAAATATGGCTGCTATAAGCATTCCCATACAGGTTTTGTGTGGACTCATGTCTTCATTTCTCTAGGATAAATGCCTAAATAGAAGTTTTTCGAATCACGCAATAAGTGTATGTTTAACATTAAAAGGAATTGTCAAATTGTTTGCCTAAGTGGCTGTACCATTTTGCACTCCCACCAGTAAATGCATGAGAATTTCAGTTACTCAGCATCCTCACAAGCATCTTACATTGTCAGTTTGTTGTTAGAGCCATCATAACAGGTGTGTAGTTGTAGTGGTATCTCATTGTGCTTTTAATTTACATTTCTCCGCTGACATAATATTGAACATATTTTCATGTGTTTTCTTGCCATGTGCATCTTATTCTTTGATGAAGTATCTCTTCAAATCTTTTGCCCACTTTTAATTGGTTTGTTTTCTTAATATTGAGTTTTAAAAGTTCTGTATATATTCTGGTTACCAGTCTTTTCTGGAATAGGTATTTTCCAAACATTTTTTCTGCCTGTTTTGGGCTTGTCCTTTCATTTTTTTCACAATGTTATATGAAGAGCAGAATTTTTAAATTTTGCTGAAATCTAATTTATTAACGTTCTTCCTTTATGAATCATGCTTTTTGTGTCCTTCCTAAGAAATCTTCACCTAACCCCAAATCGCAACGTTTTTTCTGTATTTTCTTCCTATAATGACATTATAATTTTAATTTTAAATTCAGGTCTCTGATCAATTTCCAGTGAACTTTTAAATATGGTGTGAGATATGGATTGATGTTCATGTTTTACACATGGATGGCCAAATAGGCAGGCACCATTTGTTCGAAAGGCTGATCTTTTGTGTTGTATTATCTTGGTATATTTGCTGGAAATCAATATTTGTGTGGCTTATTTCTATGCTCTCTATTCTGTTCAATTGATCTATGTGCCTTTCCTTTTGCCAGTACTGTGCTGTCTTGATTACTGTAGCTTTATAGTAAGTTTTGAGATAAGGAAGGGTTAGTCACACAATTTTGCTTTTTTTTTTTTTTTTTTTTCAAAATTCTTTTAGCTATTCTATGTCCTTAGGGTTGCCATATAATTTTTAGGATCAGTTTGTTGATTTCTACCAAAAGCCTTGTAGGATTTTGATTGGAATTACTCAATATATATATCAATTTGGGGAAAATTGACATCTTGACACTATTGAGTTTTTTGATTCACTAAGACAATATGCTCTTCATTTATTTAGGTCTTCTCTGATTTCTCTCATCGATGGCTTTTAGTTTTTAATTTATAAATTGGACAGATATTTTGTTAGGTTTATCTTTAATTTTCTATGTTTTAGATGCTATTTTAAATAGTGCTTTCCAAAATTTTCTGTTCCTAATTGTCTATTACTAGTACATAGAAATACAATTGAATTTTTTTGGTATTTTGAGCTTATATCCTAAAACTTTGCTAAACCTATTTGTTAATTTTAGTAGCTTGTTGGTAGATTCTTTGGGATCTGCTATGTAGAAAATCATATCATCTGAGAATATGAAGTTTTAATTTTTCCTTTACAAAATGCATGCCATTTATTTATTTTGCCTTGTTGCACTTGCTAGGACCTCCAATGCAATACTAAAAAGATGTAGTGATAGTGGATTCCTGATTTTCTGATTTTACAGGAAAGACATTTATTTAGTCAATTATTATTAAGGGTTTTTTTTTTTTTGCAGATTTTTTGATAGACGCATGCTACCAGGTTGAAGACATTCCCTTGTATTCACTGAGTTTTGTTATTGTTGTGTTTTTTCGTGAGTGGAGTTTAAATTTAGTCAAAGTCTTTTTTGATCCTATTGGGATGAGTATATGGATTTTTTACATTGTCGATATAGTGAATTATGCTGATTTTTGAATGCTGAACCAACCTTGTATTCCTGGAATAAACCTTACTTGGTCATGTTGTATTAGCCTTTTCTCATATTGCTGGATTTAATTTGCTAATATTTTGTTAAGGATTTTGCATCTGTTTTCATGAGACATATTGGGTACCTTTCAAGATAATTCTGGTCTTACAAATGAATTTGGAAGCATTCCTTCCTCTTTAATTTCCTAAAAGAATTTTATATAGAATTGGTTTCTTTTTCTTGATGTTTCATAGAACTCACTAGTGAAGTCAGGTTCAGTGGCTCACACTTGTAATCCCAGCACTTTGGGAGGTTGAGGTGGGAGGATGGCTTGAGCTCAGGAGTTCGAGACCAGTCTGGGAAACATAGCAAGACCTCATCGCGACTAAAAATAAAAAATTGTAAATTAGCTGGGGCCAGGGGCAGTGGCTCACACCTGTAATCCGAACACTTTGGGAGGCCGAGGCGGGAGGATCACTTGAGCTCAGGAGTTCAAGACCAGCCTGGGCAACATGGCAAAACCCCATCTCTACTAAAAATACAAAAATTAGCCAGGCATGGTGGCAAGCGCCTGTCATCCCAGCTACTTGGGAGGCTGAGGTGAGAGAATCACTTGAGCCTGAGAGGCAGAGGTTGCAATGAGCCATAATCGTGCCACAGCACTCCATCCTGGGTGAAAGACCCTGTCTCAAAAATAAATAAATAAATAAATAAATTAGCTGGGCTTGGTGGCTCATGACTGTAGTCTTAGCTACTCAAGAGGCTAAGGCAGGAGGATGGCTTAAGCCTGGGAGGTTGAGGCTGCAGTGAGCTATAATCACACCACTGCATTTGAGCCTGGGTGACAAAACAAGACCTTGTCTCAAAAAAAGAAAAAAAAAAAAAGAAAGACTTCACTAGTGAAGCCTTTTGGGCCTAGACCTTTTTTGTTTTTCTTTTTCGTGGGGGAGCAGGTGTGGAGAAGGCTTTTAACTGTGAATTCAATTTGTTTAATAGATCAGGACTATTCTAGTTATTTATTTTTTTCTAATAACTTTTTTAAATTTATTTTTTCAATTTTTTTGGCATGTTCAGTTTAACAGGCAAACTAAGAAAATTTGATTCTTTTATCTCACTGGAGTAGTGTCTTTGAGAAATAAGATCTTAAAAAACACAGCACCCCAGGGTTAGTTTATATGTCAAATAAAACAAATTAAAGACTAAAAACAGCTGCATTATAACCTGTCAATGTGAGGTCCTTTTTTTCTGTTTAAAATAGCTCTGGCTGAAACTTACAACTGTGAGAGACAAATATGAGTAGAACAACTTCTACTTCCTAGATAGGATGAGTGAATTAATTAATTAATTAATTCAATGACAATTGATTAAGATGCTGCTTGCCAACTTTGCAGAAAGCACTTTGCAGCATGTGAAACAAAGGAACTACCTCCAGGGAGTTGTAATCTGTCCAGGAAATCAACTGGAAAATATCCACAAATGCAGGTGTGATCAAGCACAAATCAATATAGAGTGAACTTTCTATTTAAATGCTGAGGAAACAGAAACAAGAATATTGGAAAAGTTATTTGAAATGATTATTAAATTATTTTAAAAGATGAGTTTTGAGCCATAGTTTAAGAAAATGAACATATATCAGCAAGAAGAAATAGGGATGGCATTTCTGGTGGAGGAAGAGGCACCAATTATTATTTTATTATTTTTATTTTGAGGCCTTAGCAAAAGAGTTGGCAAAGTACAGTGAGATTGCTACAGGGAGACCTGGACAATGGGTAACATTACATTACTTAATTTCCAGGTCAACTCTTTGATGTGATTTTTCTCCCGAGTTTACTGATGAGATTATCATTAGAGTATTTAGATAACTTATCCACTGTCTCCTATGTCAATGGCAATCTGGCATCTGAACTCAGGCCTAAGGTCAAAGCCTAGCTTTCTCCTACTGTCTTACACTTTTTGTCAGCTAAAGGAGCTCAATACTGTCTGATCAGAGACTCTCAGCTGCAAAATTGTAATCAGCTGTGATGTGAATTGCAAGCAATTTGTTGCTAGTAACATGTACGCGTGCATGAATGCATGCATTCATTCAATAAGTATGTGCTGAATGCCTTGCCCTGTGCCAGGCATTGTGTTAAGGTGCCATGGATAACAGCAATGAACAAAATAAACACTCTTCCTCTCACTGGGTAACTTATTTCCTAATGATGAAAACAAACATTGAACAAGTCATTATAAGTGTGATTAATAGATATTTACAAATAAGTATATCACCTTAGTGAAGCATTAGAAAAGGGACCCAACCTAGTCTGAAAGTCTCTGTAAAGAAGTGACAGTTAAGCTGAAATATGTAGTAGAGCAGGGAGGGAAAAAAAGGGAAAACAATAAACTTTCAGACCTTACTTCATAGGAAACTGGTTGTAGGATTTTTAGCAAAGGATTAACACAATCAGATTTTTCAGATACTTATTCTTAGAAGTCCATTCTGACTGCATGGTGAAGAATAGAGGGTCATGTGATTCTAGAAACCATTTAGGAGAAGATTGCAGTACCAGGGCTAGAGAAGATGATGGAGGTCAGCCTTGAAGCCCTGAGGGCTAGCTTGGATTGGATGCAGAAGTTCAGGGAAAAAGAGGAATAAAGAACAACTCCCAGATTTCTGATATTTGTAACCAGGTAGCTGGTAGTTGGCCATCTACCCAAATTAGGAATGACACAGAAAGAGCAGCAGAGGAGTGGTGTGGTAGGCAGATGACGAGCTCAGATTTGGCAAGTTGAATAGACACATACAGTGAATGGTTAAGAGTGTGGCTTATGAACGAGACTGCCTAGATTCCAATCCCAGCTCTGCCACCTAACAGCTGGCCATTTACAACAAGTAATTCATCCTCTCTGAACCTCAGTTTCTGCATTTGTAAGATGGGGATAATAATAGCATCTACCTCATGACATTATCCTTAAGGTTAAAGTGAGTTACACAGGGAAAGCACAGTTGTAGTACAATGCCTGGGCTTGGTGAGCATCAGTAGATCTGAACTATTATTATGTGACTGTGAGATGTTCAATATATAGCTGAATGTATTGTTTCAAGTCTCAGAAAAAGGGTCAGGGTGGTGTCATTGTAGGTTTGAACTTCCCAGCTCCTCTGTGTTTGAGTGAGGGATGTATACCTGAGTTGGAAGCACTTAGTGGCCAATACAAGAACCTCTGAAGCTCTGTTTTCCTATCATAGAGAGGCTGGCAATGTTTGACAAGAAAACTATTCCACCACCCCAGGTTCTTGAGTAATTACGGTGAACATATCCTCCATGACAACCTTAGATAGATATACAACATAAATGAAGAAAGAAGTCTTTATTTTAAGCCACTTAAAATTTGAGGATTGTTTATTATTTCAGCACAATCTTGTCTATACCAACTGACACATCAGTGAGCTATTTAACTGTGCAAATTGAGAAGCTATGGGCCTAAAGCAAAAGACTTTATATGTTTAAAGCAGATGTATAGTCCACAAATAATTTCCCTAGGACGTGGGTTTCCTTCTAAGTATGAATCTAGATTATACCTCACAATCTGAAGAAGAAACTGCTTGTCTCATAAAGATATGTGAGCTTCTAGTTGAGTAGTTGGTACTGGGACATTAAAGACTGAGACTTCAGGAAGAACACGTAGGCACAATTTTCCCTTCATATTAGACAAAAGCTTAAAGAGAAGCTGGTCTAGCTTTGATGTTATTTGAAACTACTCAACCAAGACTTTGAGAAATTAAAAAAGAAGGAGCCATCCTTTCTTTTGTAATTTGGAAGAGGTAAACATAAGGGAATGATGCTCTTACATCTGTGTATCCATTGTATGGAGCTGGACTGCAGTGTTACACTATGGTTTACTTTGAAGGCAAAGCCCCACCTGTGGATAGGAATTAAGGTCTCTCCTAAGGGGAGAGGACTTTCTCACTCACAGTCATTCTGGCAAAAGGCAGATCTGTGGACTGGGAGAGACCATTGATAAGGCAGACCATAAACAGGAGATAAAGGATTTCATCCCCTCTGGATTTTACCCTCTTAGGCTTGCAGTTCCAAATATTCAGACTGCGTAAGTGGTACTAAGGGTAGCTGACATACTCTGCAGGACAGGAAGTGGGCATCTAGTTGGGGACAAAACCCTACAGCAAGGACTCATTAAGTAAGGCACCCCAGAATAATGGTGTGTTACAATGGATGGCTTCAAGAGCCTCCATATTTAATAACCAGTTTTAAGTCTCTTTGCTGTAATTTCCTCTGTTTTCCTGACCATTCAGTAAAGTTTTGGCTGACATAAAAGCCTGGTCTCCACAGGGCTGGGAAGAATTAAGAAAGGCCCTGTGACGGTTCTTAGTCCAGTAATGTAGGAGTAACTCACCTTGAAGTCAGCATGGCAGGGGAAGCATCAGCCCTTGGCCAGTGCAGGGATCAACAGGCTGGAACTGAGAAACAGCCCAGGCACATGCAGAGGGCTGGGAGCCCATGTGAAATACCCCTGGAGACTCCCTGAAAGAAATTAGAAGAAACCTGAGAAGGGCATCCTACTCTCACGCAGGTGGAGATCATCAATCAAGAGACACTAGGTTAAACTGTGACCTCATTTGCCCTGGCGAGGCCGAGGGATATGGGTTACAAATAGAATCCTGAGTGTATGCCTCCTTGGGACTCTGAAGCTTGTGGGAGTTTATCTGCCAAGTGAAAACCACTGGGCCATGTGTTGGGTAAAAAAAAAGGTTGAGACATTCTCTTCTAGGCAATGAGGAGCCCTGTGGGTTTTTAGGAAGGGAAGTGAGAAGATGAAAACAATAAGATACTGAATTTTTACAATTTTCTAATACCATTATAGCGAACAGAGGTTTGTTTTTCAATAACTGTCCTATTAAAAAAGTTATAAATATTGTTTAGGGAACTATGTTTTCAGTTGAAACAAGGCAGTAAATCAAGGTTGAAGCTTGTGGATTTAGTTAAGTAGAATGAAGGTAAAACAAAATCTCAATAAATCAAGAAAACCAACCTTAATGTAGGCAGTTCATTAATTAAAACTCACAGCCAAGAACAAGATTTACACAATCCTGAAGTGCCAATACTGAAATAGCATCTGCTTCCAAGCATCTGCTTACCAAGAAACTTTGCTCTTCTTACTGAACAATAGGATAAATCATGATCCTCTTATAATCCTTTTAAGACTGGAAGTGTTTCCCATGAAGTTTTCAAATGGCCTGGGCATGCTCATTTCACTTCGGTAACAAAATCCACAGATATAATTTGCTCAGTTTACAACTTTGAAGTAGCAATCATGCAAATCTCAAATTGTAGATGTTTGGGAAGAGAGATTAAAGCTGAAGGAGGGCCCCAAGGAGATTGAGGGGAAGAAGAGGGAAAGAGTGGAATTCAGTTTCCTACAGTGCAAGGGCACCTGGGGTGAAAAAACCTGAGGGCAAAGAGTCATCAAGACTAAAACTAAAAAGAAGATGAAGAAAATGTCCGATGATAAAGTCAGTATGCTTAAGTGAGTTGTGTTATATGCACATTTTACTTACTGAAGTGCAGCCACATATGCTAGATAAAGGAAAAGGAGAAACAGCTTAAATAGGTCTGGCTAATTTTGCACACTCTTCCCACTCAATGAGCTATCCTCTGTAGTGAGACTGAGATGGGCAACAGTAATCTGTTTTTCCCATAGTTTGTAAGTGTCTCTCACTGTGTGGGCATCTTACTGCACTGAGTATGAATCTTGGGTTTAAAGATATGTTTTTTTTTTAACAACATGATTCTTAAATTGAAGCCAACTACTTCATCAGGTGCCCAGTGGGGTGGGGGTGGAGGTAGAGACAGGAAACTGGAAAATCCTGTCAGTGGACTTATTACTAGTTGTATGATAGTCTCTGTGTCAGTTAGGGCTCAGGCAGATAAGCAGAAGCACTATGAGTGGTACAGAGAATAAGGGCTACAAAGACTAGGGCTTACCCAATTATGGAAGTTGGTAAAGAAATCTATGGAAGGCTGTTGCTTCAGCATCTGATAGTGGGCCTGAGATTTCTCAGCAAGACTGATATTGAGAAGAAAAGCTGGATGTGAACTGGGGGAGGACAAGGACACACCAGAACCCACAAGGACAACTGGAACCCAAAGAACAAAATGGAACCCACATCTGCATCTGACCATCTGCAGCCTGGTCAAGGCTAGAGACCTGTAGTAGGAGGAGCTGGTGGCTTTCACCATGGAACTACACATGCAGTAGTCCAAGATTTAGAGAAGCTAAAGGAGGAGATGTGGCCACAGCTGAAGAAGCCTTAGGCTCAGCTGCAGCCCTGTAGCCAGCAAGGTGAGGCAGTAGATCAGCGATGCACACAAGCACTGTAGCTCTGAGTGCCTTTAACCAACCTGACAAGCATAATGGCTGCCACTTCTCTCTGCCTTGCAAACTGTGTGCAAAGTTTTCTTGTGCCCAGAATCTAATTCTAATCCAGAATCATACATAGAAGGGAATTCTAGAAAATGTAGTCCTAATTTAACCAAGTTAATGCACTCTATAGCCACTTCCACCTCCAACATTAGGCTTTTCCCTAAGGGATTTCCAAAGATAAGATTAATAAAAGGTTTATTTTATGTTCTGCCTTTAGAACTCAACCCTTGTGTAAGACGTAACTCCACTATACAGATTGCCGTGTACTAACATTGTAAGTGAGAAAATTGCTACTCAGTTCTGGTACCAACATTCTGGCTGGTACATTCTTCTCCTGTCTTCCATCATTAAGGCAATTAGGGTCTCCCTGCTGAGAATACAAGTGAATCTACAATATGATGTTATCAGCATTCTTCCCAGACATCCTCTGTATGTGAAAAAATTATTAAATATGAACTTTTCCCCATATTATGTTGTGGGTTTTTCTTAAAAAAAGAACTCAAAAGACCCTTATTTGTTTCATCTGACCTATCAACGGGACATTTGATATTCAAAAAAATAAACTACTTCTTTTGAAGTGAGGGCTGCACTAAAACTATACATTTCCTATTTCTTTTTGTTTACTAAAGGGTATGTGTTGGTGAAAATTTTGATATTCATAATTCTAGGACTTGACACTTTTTCTGTAAAACAATTCCAGTATGGGAAAATGTTATGGTACTTTATTCCCCTTAAGTCATGGTTTACACAAATATTGTTCCATCTCAGTAATTTCTCAGGGCATCCAAGAGCTTATTGGTAGCTGGATTCTGAGTAAAACCATTAGCTTGTGATGACCATTAACTAATGACTGCCATTATGTGCTATTTAATAATATGATGTGCTCATTGAGCTCAGAGCCATGTCTTGCTCATATTTGTATTCAAAACACCTGGCACATACTAAACACTCAAAAATAATTATCGAAATACCAAATGGTTTTTTGTGTATGACTTTAAATGTTTGGCTTTATAAGCCTGATTTTGGATAAGTGACCCAGACACAGAACCACAAAGAATAGGTGAGTATAGAAAACACAATTCGGGCTAGTGGACAAAGAAAGGGAGTTATTCTCAATCTATTTGCCCTTCTTCATTTCCATCAAAAACTATTTGTTGATTATATACTATATACCAAGCACCACATCAGAAAATAGAAATATAGAAATAAACAAGACAGAAGCTTCACCCTCAAATATTTCACAGTCTTGTCTGGCCACAGACATAGAAACAAATTACTTACTTCCTGGTAAGTGCTTTTAATAGAGAAGTGTATGCAGAGCAGAGGTGATCAAATATATTCTCTAATTAGAATGATAAACTGTTCAAAATGATGGCTGGAGTCAGTCATAGATAAGCCTAAGTTCCAGGACTGAGAGGTAGCTAATTTCAAATGCCCATTCTGGAGTGGAAAAAAGTTTACTAGGTTCCATCTCACTGAAAGTCTGCCTCACTTACACTCCAGGTCCACCCACAGCTTAAGGAAATTTTTGCTTATTAACACCTGCAGCCTGCAGAACCAGAAAAGTCACATAGGTGTGGTTTTCCAAACTGAACTTAGGAGCCATTCATTTGCTCCAGTAAATTATTTATCAGATGTACACAGTGTTGTACTGCATCTTTACAAACAACCGGGTTTGAGTCTATATTGGCATTCACTTATTTGACTAATTTTTACAGAGCACCTTCAAGGGTCTGATTGATTCCTGATTATTTGCCAGGTGTGAAACCAAGGACCAATAATTGCTAATGTCAAGGTGAATGTCAAGGAGCTTAAGTTAGATGACAAATAATTTCAAAACAATGTGATAATCTCTAAGCAGGTAATTATGACACCATATATATCAGGAGCTACAGAGTGTTACTGAGTCACTGTGGAGGAGACACTAAATTTGCTTTGAGTGGAGTTTGGGAGAAATTCAGAAAGGGGATATTGCCATTGAATCGTCAAGACCAACTAGGAGACTCCCAGATACAGAAAAGCAAAGCCTTCCACAAATACTTAGTAAAATTTAACCAAGCATATTCTAGGTAGGCAACACTTTTAATAAATTCTTAATCCTCTTCTTTGGGCATTGACTGACCCTAAAGGTAGCCATGGAAGCAAATTCTCCAGCACTGTTTGGAAGCTGCTTTGGAATGTTGTGTGGCTCCAAAATAATTGGGAACAAGTGAGATATCTGAAATATATGGTGAATCCCTGTGTTAACTGACTAAACATGTAAAAAGTGAAATTACAGCTAACAGCACAGCAGCAGGTCAAGTCTGACCTCCCTTCAAACACCATTCATGTTTCACTAGTAGCGAAAGATCAGCCTCCCCAAGAGTGTCCTTGGATCCACCAAAGCAACAAATATTCACTTGCTGGCTGCTCTGTGCAAATTACTCTGCTAGGCTTCAGAAGCCTGGAGCTTAATAAAAATGAAGGAAAGTTGTCAAATGACAAAAGTACTTCTAGAGGGCAGGAACTAGGCCTCCCATATGGTCTTTATAGGACCAATTAAAAACATTATTAAGTTTCCAATTATGTTTCCCACCTTAGAAACTCATTTATTTATTCTACTATACAGCTTATTCCTGAATTTGTGCTCTGTAAGCCTTTCTTGTTGTTTCAAGAAAAGCCCATTGGGCTGAAATCAAATGGTAAATGCCCTTCATGTGGCATAATTATGTTTTACTACTATTCTCTAACCATCCTCTGGTTTAGAAATTTCAGGAGTTAAGCAGAATCTGGGGAGCATTAGGTCCTCAGACACCCATTACTGTTATTTACCATTTTGTTTTCACTAAAATTTCCATTAACTTTTTCTCCATCAGCATTAGATTATAAATTGCAGTCAGTTATCTATTGACTAGAAAGAAATCTTACTTGTAATGAATTAAGTAAATAAATAATTTTGCCCTCACTTTCATCCTATTGGTTGAGAGCCACTTTTTCAACATTATACAAACAGTAACTTTTCACTAAAGGCTAGTAAAAGAAACTTTTCTAAAAGTAAAACTTTACAAAAAGTTTAGATATTTTAGGTTTCCAAATACATAGATCAAGTCCAATAGTACAGTCAACTCTCAATCATTTATATCTACACACAGGTCTAGGCACACCAATTGAGAGGGCAGCCAAATTAGATAACACTTAAAAGATTTGTTCAAAGTTCCATTTGAGATAAATATATGTGGAAGTTATAGAAGCATTATTTGCATAACATATATCAAAAGTTGAACAGCACAGTAGAGGCTATTTCAACTCCAGTAACTTCTTCTATTAACAAAGAAGATATATTTCAACTATTTGACATTGTCCTCATGTTAACTGAAATGTGGGCTAGTTGCTCACCACACAACAGTACACTTCAATTCACAAGAATGGAGTCTTATGCAAAAAAAGTGAATTTATTCCAAAGCTAGCTTAGGGGAAGGGGCATAAAGTATCCTGCCTTTACATGTGCCGCTTCACCTTTGGAGCAGAAAGTGGGCATTTTTATAAGATAAGGAAGGAAATGAGCAAGGGCAGGGGTCCCCCTGCTACCAGGCAGTCGTTTACTAGGCAGTTGAGTTGGTGCCTTCCTGGGCAGAAGTATGTTGTAAAAGTGGCTAAGTTGTCCAGGTGCAGTGGCTCATGCCCGTAATCCTAGTAGTTTGGGAGGCTGAGGCGGGCAGATCACCTGAGCTCAGGAGTTCGAGACCAGACTGGGCAACACAATGAAACCCCGTCTCTACTAAAAATACAAAAATTAGCCGGACGTGGTGGTGGGTGCCTGTAATCCCAGCTACTTGGAAGGCTGACGCACGAGTATCGCTTGAGCCCAGAAGGCGGAGGTTGCAGTGAGCTAAGATCGCACCACTGCACTCCAACCAGCACGACACAGTGAAACTCTATCTCAAACAACGACAACAACAACAAAAAGTGGCTAAGTGGGCATGCTTTCAAGATGCTCTCCTAGTGGATTTGAGTTTCCAAGCAACCCCTGGAGGGTGAAAGTTCCTGGAGGGTTTGCTTTGGTCTGCAAAGCCACTGTCAATTCTGGAGGCAAGATCTGTCTTGGAGCACCTAGTTAGAAGAACTTAGGCTGTAGGGAATGTCTGGTGAGGGGAGGTGAAAGGTTATATTTGCAGTTCTGAAGGCTTAAGTAGGAAATAGGGAGTCAGGGAAACAAGAGAGAGAGAGATTTGAAAAATAATAATTAAACCACCTCTAGAAAAATGGGAGTACTCAGTTACACTCAGAGACCTTATTCCCAGAGGTAAAAGTATTAGAAGTCTTAGGGAGGTAGTCCAGAACATGCTTTCTCTGTGGCAGAATACTTCCTCTTACCCTGCGCTTTAGACAAGGTAAGAGAGCACACCCGGGCCCTTTTGGTCTTTTTGAGGGGGTACACATGCTTAGGAAAAAATTACTTAAATTGTGACACTAATACAAATTAAAAGCTAATATTTATTGAGCTATCATGTTCTAAGAACTTTTCATGTATTATCATATTTAATCCTGACAATAGCCCTCTAACACAGATAATATTATTTTCGTTTTACAGGTGAGATAACTAAGATTCAAAGAACTTAAGTAACTTGTCAAAGAACCCACAAATAGGATATGTCAAACCTAAAACTTAAACACAGGTACTCCTAACTCATAAGCCCAAGTTCCCAATTCTATTCTAATCATAGGGACTGACATTTTTATAGAGTAGATATTACTTATCTCCAAGTAATGCCCCTATTCTCCTAGAGGCTGAGGGTTCTCAGTAAGGCTCAGAGCTCTTTCTGCATCATCTACAAGAGATGTTAATCTGTCACAGTGCCACTTCCTCTTCTTGGCTAGCAGTGTCCAGTGCTGAGGTTTTGGAGGACACAATAAATAAAATCCCCCTTTTAACTCAAGTTTGGAACCAATTTAGAATCAGACTCAGGAATTGGTCAAGATTGAGATGTCAGTTTTGCTACCCATAGAACTGCAATGGTAATGATCCAGACTCAAATGGGCTTGCTTAAGCACTTTTTACCCTATTTCCCTTCCAACTCCCAGCCCCAGATGTCGGGACTCAAGCTTGTGGGAAGGTTTGGGAGTCTAGGGCAGATGTACTTTAAGTAGGGTTGCAGCCTTGCTCTGCTCCAGGGCAAAGAGGAAAAAGAAACCCAATCTCCAATGCTCGCAGCCTTTTAATAGATGAATTCTCTCTACTTGTGAACCATGGCCTATGGCTATTCTCTGCCTAATGTCCTCCACCAGGTAGCATCCTTAGTCTGAACAAGGATAGGTGAGCCAGAGGCAAGCTGTGTTGCTCTAGTGGAGTCGACTCCGATGAGAAGAGGAAAAATGGCAGAAATGAGTTCCTACATCATAGGAACTTCCTTACACCCCTGAGAATGTGATCCGAGCAGAGACTTGAACCAAAGGGGACTAGCAATTATGTTCTGAGAAAAAGGAAGTTACTATGTATGAGCGGAGGAGCAGACAGTTCAGCCTGCCCAGAACTACTGAGACAAAGAAAGCGCTTCCTCTCCACAAACAAGCGTGTGTCAGGCTACAGTATGTTGATTTTTGCTTTCAATGAATCTAACTCTGTATAGAGAAATGAAGGGTATGACTTTTTAAAGAAAAATGTGATGAAACAGTGTTTGGGGATTTTATTGTGATTCCCCCTCCTACTGACCCACTTCATTTCCTAGTACTCCTTTTGCTATTTTTCTCACAGCATTTATCCCCTTGGGGATGAGAAGATTCAGCCAAAATCCAAGGCTTTTGATTTTCAGATGCTTTGTTTTTTAAATTGTATAAACCTAAACCCAGTAAACTCAGGGCAGAGGACAAAAGATGTGGAGAATACATAATAATGTAAAAGTCAGGCTGGGGGTGAGGGGGCTGTTTGGAGGCAACAATGGAGAGGGGTGTTATAGGGAAGTCAGGACAATTCTATTCCAAACAAAGAGGCCTTGAGCTGTGGGCCTGGAGGTGCTTTACCTTCTTCTACTTGCCCAGATACAGGAGGGAGGAGTTGAGGCACATGGCCATGACATGAGCACGAGACAGGCTCTGAGACTCCATGAATGAGGGCCCTGTGTACCCCTTTCCCAGGTGGAACTCAGGATTTTTCTATGGCAGCCTGAAAGGAGAGCAGAAGAAACATCTGCGGAAGTTGTCTAAACAGGGGTGCCCAAGACAGACGGAGAATGCGTCTCAGATGCCCAAGAGCAGTGCAGATGTGGTTTGAGAGCTGCAGCAGAGAGTGCATCCATGGGAATAAGGACTTCAGCCTGGATGCCCGCATGGATGGCTGACAATGCCAAAACCAAGAAACTCAACAGCAGCCAACACAGCAACGCCCCAAAGGCCACCCAGGTCAAGGGGCTGAATGGTCTGAGATTACACTTTAGTTGGGTTATAGAAAAATGCTGAGTAGTCTATTTCCTGAGTGAATTCACTGAAAATCATACTGCAGAAGTACTAACAGTGGAATATGTGTTAGGTGTCAAATAATCAGGCAGTATATTCAGCAAATACCAGAGAGGTGTAGATCAAGAAAGCACAGAACCCACCTCTCCTACACACACACACACACACACACACACACACACACACACACACACACACTCACTTCCAGGGGCATTTTGATTTACATAATATTCATTTCACTTCTTCATTTAAACAAACCCACACAATAGAGACCTTACTGCATCTCTTTCTGAGCACAATCCTATCCTTCAGCATCCTTGAATTGCTTGGCCCTTTAAATTACAGAGGTTTATTCCAATGTCCCCTTGTGCCTCCACAGGTTGTCTTTCATGTCAAATTTTTTTTCATGGTAATAAGAAAACAACTCTAGATGTGTTTAACACAGCAGCCAAGGTGTACCCACGGGGTATAATTAGCACTTAATATGTTAGAAAGAAAAGGTAAGGTATAATACAGTACTGCTTGAAACGAAAACGGAAAAAGGTACCAGGGAAAAAATTGCTTCAAAATTGCCTTTCTTCTTGAGGTACTCAGAAGTGATACTTACTGTGATTCTGTTAATTATGGAATAAAACAGGGGGTTACTTAACATATGCCATGCATCTCCTCTTTCATTGAGGGAGTAAAATAGGCTGCCGGTGGATTGTTAATGTCATTTACAGGGACTGGCACCACTGAGAATTTCAAAACTCCAATCAGGTGCAAGGTAATGTTGACAACTGATACTATTAACAGCACTTAACTTTTAAAAAAATAAATAAATAAATGTGGGTGTGTATGTGGAGAGGTATTATAGACTTCTGGGCTTTGGTTCAGTTTCTCCCACTCCTTCTGCAAGAGTGGTTGGATAACTGGCTCTTTGCCTTTATAATAAAGGATTCCAAACTCTCTCTGTTGTTGTTTTGTTTTGTCTTGTTTCCCCTCTTAGAATTATGGTTTCTAAAGGCCCCATGACTCATATTCAGAGTGTTTCTAATTTTGCCTGGTGGGTGGCACCTTTCTCTCACTTGTACCCTGTTCTTGGATTTAAGTAATCATTTCCAAAGACTACACTGTTTGAAAACTTAATTATCTATTAGATATAAGAATCCTTTGTTGCCCAGGAGTTTAAAAATGCCACCAAAACGCATATGTCACGGGTCATCTTGAATTCAAAGCCTCAGGTATTTTTTAAAGCTCACACACATTTCATCAATTTTATCGAGTCCAAAGCATTGGAGGATATAGAGTGAATTTCAGGATAAAAATGATCTTATTTGATTGAAATTACTTATTAATTTGTTGCAGCTGGGTAAAGGAGAGGACATTTTCTTTGCATCTTAAGTAATACAGTGAAAAGCATTAAACAGGATGGATTAGGACTTAATTCTCTAAATATTAAAAGACATGCCATTTGGGTTTAAGTCCTTCAAAGCTGGAGATGGTTCCAGTGATAGAAGCCAGATTTGTGCCTTGGTTTTTAAGATGTCTCCAAAGTTGAAGGTGGAATTACAGAGGGCCTAGATAAAGGTTACAGAACAAGACTGGATAAACCTAAGATTCCATTCAGATGGTCTTGAACTAAAAAATGAAGGTTTAAGTAACTTTAATGATGATGATACCACAATATCACAAGAAAAATAACACATCATCAACTGGTTCTGAGGTTAATTGCATTCTATATTAGTCACATTACACATTCTAGCACTTAGACAAGCTGTATGATGTACTGAACCAGAAAACAGTAAAACTAAATGAAAACATGTTGTGGAGAAATAAATGAAAAAATAATAGATGCCCACACACTAGGTCCCACCCATAATATTAATAGAGTGTATCATTTCTGGATGATTTTAAGAACAATCTGTCAATGTTTTTGGTTGTTATTTCAATTCCTACTGCCAGATATTTTGACTATAAAAATTAAGCTAAATTGGAAATAATACTGTCCAGTCTTAACTTTCTATGATAATAGTGACCTAAATTATACTTGAGATTAATATAAAAAAATGACATTTGAAAATCATCCAAGAAATTTCCAGGAAATCACCAAAATAACTAAGATACCACTGGGAGCACAGTGATTTAGACCTGTAGTCCCAGCTACTTGGGAGGCTGAGATGGGAGCATTGCTTACACCCAGGAGTTTGAGGCTACAGTGAGGTATGACTGTGCCACTGCACTCCAGCCCAGACAACAGAGCAAGACCTCATGTCTTGAAAAAAAATACCATTTTTATTGATTCTAAGATGCATTTTGCCCAACATTTAAAAATCTCTGAAATTGGGGTGTGTCTGACAATGGTATCTCACAATTATAACTGATGGTATGTTTTCTTAGTAATACATAAAATAATAATACATCTGAAAATTGACGGTGTCTTACATTCTGCATAATATGGTAGTTTTGGTCATGGGTATTCTTACAGGCAAAGTAAGAGAATAAAAAATATTCCATTACTCTCTCAGAGTTGATTGTATTCACCTAAGTTTGTATTCACAGGGTACAAGTAATAGGTTATCCAGAGTTGCTTAAGTTTCTAGAGCTGTGCTGTCCACTACAGTAGCCACTACCCATATGTAACCATTTACATTTAAGTGGATTACTATTAAATAAAATGAAATATCAGCTTCTTAGTGGTACCAGGCAAATTTCAAGTGCTCAATAACCATAGGTGGCTATTGGCTATCATATTGAACAATGTGGATTTATAGGACATCTTCATCATCAAAGAAAGTTCCACTGGGCAATGCCAGTATGGACTGCTGACTTTATATCACAAATTCTTTAGACTTGAACAGTAGTACGTGGAGCAAAGTCCCAGGCATTTTAGTATCTATCTCAGGGGCAGCAGTTTGGTGTAGTTAATTCAAGCATGGGCTTTGAAATCAGACAGACGTAGGTTTGAATCTTGAATGTCAAACTTAGTGTGGTTATCATCAGGTTTCTTGACTTCTCTAAGACTCAGTTTTTCATTCGTAAGATGAAAGATAATTGTGGTAACTACTTCATAGAGCTATTTAAAGAAGACAAAGGGTTAACCACAAAGCATAATAAGCATTCAATTAATGCTAGCTTTCATGATAAGTCTTTTAGAATTTTGGTGACTAAGGTGTGGCCAAGTTGAGCATGATGGTGTGATAAGTGCTAAAGTATAATAAAAAATAAGGTGGTCCAGGAACAAAGAGAAGGGAATTTCTCTTTCTCAGTCAACCAGGAGAGGCAGGGAAGATTTATCAGACGAGGTGATACTTAAACTGCATCTCAAAGGATGCCCAGATGTTCATTGGGCTGAAAAGGCTAAGGTTGGGATGTTTTTGCTGGAGAAAGAGCATGTATAATGTTACAAAAGCTTGAGAGAACTCCTGGCACTAAGATAAATGGATCTCATTTGGGAACAAGGTAAAGAATAGAGATTATTAGGAGCTGAGGCTGTGAATGTTTGTTGAAGCCAAATTGTAAGCCTGAGTGCCCTGCCAAAGACATTATCAAGATTTGAGGTAGGAACCCCATTGCAATAGTCTGGGTGAACACTGAGCAAAACACTAATGAGGAAGTGAAGAATTGTCTGCACTCACCACTTCCAATATGTCTTCTCCCATTTGCTCTTGAACCCACTCTATCAACCACCAAAGCCGCTCTTAACAGGATTACTAGTGACCTTCATATTGCTATGCCTTGTGAACCATGTCTGTCTTCACCTTTCTTGACCTGATAGCATCATCTCACACAGCTGATCACTCTTTTCCCTTGGAACATTTTCTTCACTTGGCTTCCAGGAGATCACACTTTCTCCTACTTCATTGGATATTCCTTCTAAGTCTCCTTTGTTTATTTCTCCTCATTTCCACAACACTGAACACTGGAAGTCCCAGGGCTCAATCCTTTGGGCCTCTGGTCTTTCTTATGACTCCAAAGAGTTCAGTATCATGGCTTTATGTACACACTACATACTGATCACATTAAAAGGTTCAGCCCACTTCTCTAGCCTGAACTCCATATTTGTCTACCCAACAGCCCACTCATCATGTTCACTTGGATCTCTAAAGGGCTTGCTCACTTAACGTGTTCAAACCAAAATTCTTGATCTCCTCCCCCTGCAGTCACCCTCATTTGAGTCATCTAGACTCCTTGGAGTCATCCATTTCTTCTCTCTCTCTCACATCCCACATTCAATCTATCAGTCAATATCCTGTTGACTTTACCATCACAGTAAGCTCAGAATAACTCCACTTCTCACCATCTTACCTGCTACCATCTTGTTTGAGCATCCACCATTTCTCCCAAGTCTCCCAACTGCCTTCTCTGCTTCCACCTAATTCTCCATAGTGCCCCACCTCCCACCCCCATCTATTCTCAAAACAACAGAGACATTCTGTTTCACGCGTGAGTTAGATCAGGTCACTCCATTCAATTCTCCAGCACCTTTCCATCTTCAAGTAAAAACAAGAGACATTAAAAGTGCCTACGTGTCCCTATGTAATATTCCCTGTCCCCTCTCCTCACCTCCTTCTCCCTTTGCTCACTCCACTACAGCAACACTGGCCCTCTTTCCACTTCTTGAACGTGATAAGTATGCTTCTGCCTCAGGCCCTTCATACCTGCTGTTCTCACTGCCAAACATGCTTCTCCTCCAGTTCCCAGTTTCTACGTGGCTCATCTACTCGTCTCTCCCAGTTGTTAGTCAAATGTCACTTTCTCACCGGAGCCTTCCCCGACCTCCTATTTAAAATCGGACACTGCACCCAACACACTCCCTATCCCTTTACTTACTCATTTTTTTCCCAATGGTTCCCATCATTATTTAAAATTTGATATATATTAATCTATTTGGTCTATTATCTGTCTCCTCTCACTAGAATTTAAACTCCACGAGGTCAGGGATTTTTGTCTGCTTTTGTGCACTGCTGTATTTCCACGAGCTTCATGTACCTGGCCCATCAGTACTCAATAAACCTTTGTCAAGAAAATTAATGCACACGTTTGCTTATTTGAGGGGGCTGAGGAAGATGGAGAAGGTGAGAAGTCATTCACATATTTATAACATTTAGTGCACATCTCCCATATGCCACATACTGTGCTAGATGCTAAAGATCCAAGTGACTTAGGCAGTTGGGTATGTAGTGATGCCAGCAACCAAGACAGAGAAACTGGCAAAGGAACAGGAATGCTGAGAACACTTGTTGAGTTCCGATGCCTATGGGACATCCAGGTGTAGATTCCAATCATAAGCTGGAACCAATTCCAAAATCCACGTTGATCCACCATGCAGGAGCCAGACTGAAAGGGGAGGTTAGAGGGCCTCCCTGGAGCACTGAGCCACAGTGCACACCTGGGCAGTAATTCCATCCTCTGCACTGTCTTCAACTACAAAGAATAAAGTAAACATTCATAATACTTGCTTCTTAGAATTAATTGACCTCATATGTGTAGAGCCCTCAGCTTCCCAGATGAAAGGTGTTACAGAACTACAAAGTTAATCTTGCTGACTCAGTGGGAAGGCTGGTGCCCGGAATTATCATGGCCCTGACTGGAGGCATCTGGGTATCCATCTTGATGTTCCTCTCCAAGAGTTGACCCAGACTCTGCCTAATCTCCCAGTGAGATCTAAAATACTCTCAGAAAGGAAACCAAGCATGCTTAATAAAGAATAAGAATTTGATATAACTATGAACCTCTGGGGGAGAAAAATTACTTCAAATACATTAGTCAAGAAAGAAAGTTCTTTTATACAAAAAAAAAAAAAAAAAAGATTTGGATGATTTCCAGCAATGCAAGACTTCAAAAAAGGAGTAAGAGAGAGGGCAAGGATGTCTGTTTTCTCCCAATTCCAGTGGGCATTGTGGTGAAGGAGGTGAATAGTTTGCACAGAGGACTAAGGATAGCTTGTTAACAGATGGCTTACCTACTCAAAGAAAGAATTATCTTTGAGGAGCAAATATAAAAGAAGCAAATGTGTTGACTCACTCATACTGACAAAGAAAGAATGTGACTTTAAGGATATGTTTCTCAGACCTTAAAGGCTATTTGCAGCAGGGAAGCTTATCGCGGAGGGGTGGGGTTGCACTGAGGGTGGGTGTAGGGGAAGAGAAGGTGTCTAAATTCTGGAACCTTTTATTAAAGCTTGTTTTCCTTGTCTGAATCTTTTGGTTCCTGTATCTGTGACAGTATTCATAACTCAGCCCCAGTGTGCCAACAAACCCCATATGTTTCAGTTCTCTCCTTATCTTTTAAGCCAAGATAAGGTTGAAATGAGTGTATTGCAAGAGATTTGTGACAGAATACGCACACAAACACACACGGTGGCGGAGGGTGCGGACCGTGTCTTACTCATCTTTGTTTCCTTCACTGCAAATAACTCAAGACTTACACAAAGAAAACACTCAATAAATTTCTCAATTAAATGTGCATATTCTTAAGACAAAAAAAGAAGAGCGTCCTCTGTGGAGAAGGTCTTTCTTTATAGATTGAGGGAAGTAGCTGTGGGTCAGATAACAGGAGTCAGTGAGCAGAAAAACCAACTCTGGCCATATTCAGAAAGAACACTTTCTGTCCCCACTCCACTTCTCATTCATTTATTCATCTAACAGCCTTTCAATCAATATACACATTTTATTGGCTACCATCTGCCAGGCTTTGAATGCTGGGAACATAACAATGAACAGGACAAGGCCCTGCCACTAAATCGATAGTGTAGTGTGGGAGAAAGAGATTAATAGAAACAATATTCAATATCAGGTACTACAGTGATCTCTTTTGCTAGGATTATTTCATTCAGTCTATTTCTTCTCACATTTTAACATACCTGCAAATCATCTGTAAATTTCTTAAAAATGCAGATTCTGTTTCAGTCTTTCTGGGATAGGGCCTGGGATTCTGCATTTCTACTAAGCTCCCAGGTGATACCTATGCCAAAGATTCTAAAACCACGCGTTGAGTATTAAGGATTTAAACATTCCAGCAATTCTGTGTGGAAGGAGCTATCATTCCCTCCATTAAAGAGAAGAAAACCAGGGCTTGGTGAAATTACATGATTCATCTATAGCATCATGAACAGGGTGTTATGTGACCCACCAAGCCATGAAGCTGGGCATGCACAGCAGCACTCCATCATCAGATAGAAGTGGTATATGCGCAATCAGGCCCAAGCAGGCCCTTAAAGCAAAAGTGAATTACATGAAGTGGTCCAAATGCCCATGGTCCCCTCTTCTGCTATGCTGTCTTCTCTCTCCCAGCCTGCATCTATGGCCTCATGGGGCATTCCCTATGATCAGCTGACAGAGGAAGAGAAAACATGGGCTTTGTTTTTAGATCTGCATGATATGCAGGCACCACCCAAAAGTGGACAGCTGCATTACTAAAGTCCCTCTCTGGGACATCCCTGAAAGACAATAGTGAAGGAAAAATCTTCTAACTGGGCAGAACTTTGGGTAGTGCACCTGCCTGTGCACTTTCCTTGAAAGTAGAAATGGCCAAGTGTGAAATTATAAACCAATTTGTGGGCTGTAGCCAATGGTTGGTCAAGATGGTCAGGAACTTGGAAGGAATGTGATAGGAAAATTTGTGATGAAGAAATATGTGGACAGACCTCTCTGAATGAGCAAAAAAAGGTGAAAATATTTGTATCTCATATGAATGTTCACTGAAGGGTGACCTCAGTAAAGGAGAATTTTAATAATCAAGTGGATAGGATGACTTGTTATGTGGATACCAGTCAGCCTGTTTCTGCAGCCACACCAGTCATCCCCCAGTGGGGCAGGGATGGGGGTTACACATGGGCTTAGCAATATGCACTTCACTCACTAAGGCTGATCTGGCTATGACCACCACTAAGTGTCCAATCTGCCAGCAGCAGAAACCAACACTGAGCCCCCATATGGAACCATTCCCCAGGGTAATCAGCTGGGTACCTGGTGGCAGATTGATTACAGTGGACCACTTTCATCATGGAAAGGGCAGCATTTTGTCCCTACTGGAATAGACATTTACTCTGGATATGGATTTGCCTTCCCTGAATGCAATTCTTCTGTCAATACTACCATGTGTGGACTTACAGAAGCCTATCCACTGTCATGCTATTCCATGCAGCATTGCTTCTGACCAAGGAACTCACTTCAGTGACAGAAGTATGGCAATAAGCCCATGCTCATGGATTCGCTGGTCTTACCGTGTCCCCCACCATCCTGAAGCAGCTTTCTTTTTTTTTAACTAAAAAGTAAACTTTAATGTCGAAAATGCAAACTTGGGGAAGACAGAAAAGATCACACACAAGGCTGTCACTTCACACTTGGAAGGTTGCACGGCCACCAGTCAGAGGCGCTCCTCACTTCCCAGATGGGGTGACAGCTGGGCAGAGGCGCTCCTCACTTGCCAGATGGTGGGCAGCCGAGCAGAGGGACACCTCACTTCCCAGATGGGGTGGCCGGGCAGAGGCGCTCCTCACTTCCCAGACAGCTGGGCAGCTAGGCAGAGGCGCTCCTCACTTCCGAGACGGTGGGCAGCCGGGCAGTGGCGCTCCCGACATCCCAGATGGAGTGGCAGCCGAGCAGGGACGCTCCTCACTTCCTAGACGGGGTGGCAGCCGGGCAGAGGCGCTCAATTCCCAGACGAGTCAGCCGGGCAGAGGCGCTCCTCACTTCCCAGTCAATTGGGCAGCCGGGGAGAGGCCCTCCTCACTTCCCAGTCAATTGGGCGGCCGGGGAGAGGCGCTTCTCACTTCCCAAACAGGGCAGTGGCCAGGCAGAGGCACTCCTCACTTCCCAGACTGTGGGTGGCTGGGCAAAGGCCCTCATCACTTCCCAGATGGTTGGCGGCCAGGCAGGGGTGCTCCTCACATCCCAGATGGGGTGGCAGCCGGGCAGAGGTGCTCCTCACTTCCCAGACAGTTGGCAGCCAGGCAGAGGTGCTTCTCACTTCCCAGATGGGGCAGCGGCCGGGCAGAGGCACTCCTCACTTCCCAGACGCTTTGGCAGCCGGGCAGAGGCACTCCTCACTTCCCAGCCGGTTGGCCGGCCAGGCAGAGGCGCTCCTCACTTCCCAGATGGTTGGGGGCCGGGCAGAGGCACTCCTCACTTCCCAGACGCTTTGGCAGGCGGGCAGAGGCACTCCTCACTTCCCAGCCGGTTGGCCAGCCAGGCAGAGGCACTCCTCACTTCCCAGATGGTTGGGGGCCGGGCAGAGGCACTCCTCACTTCCCAGACGCTTTGGCAGGCGGGCAGAGGCACTCCTCACTTCCCAGCCGGTTGGCCGGCCAGGCAGAGGCGCTCCTCACTTCCCAGATGGTTGGCGGCCAGGCTGAGGTGCTCCTCACTTCCCAGTCAGTTGGGCAGCCAGGCAGAGGCGCTCCTCACGTGCCAGAGGGTGGGGAGCCCGGCAAAGGCGCTTCTCACTTCCCAGACAGGGTGGTCGGACAGAGACACTCCTCACTTCCCAGACTGTCAGGTGGCCGGGCAGAGGCGCTCCTCACTTGCCAGTCAGTTGGGCGGCCGGGCAGAGGAGCTCTTTACTTCCCAGTCAGTTGGGGGGCCGGGGAGAGGCGCTCCTCACTTCCCAGACAGGGCGGCGGCCAGGCAGAGGCGCTCCTCACTTCCCAGACAGCGGGCAGCTGGGCAGAAGCGCTCCTCACTTCCCTGACGGGGAGGGCTGAAGCAGCTTTCTTGATAGAACAGCGAATGGCCTTTTAAAGACTTGATTATAGTGCCTACTAGGTGGCAGATACCTGCAAGGCTGGGGCACATATCTCTATAAGGCTGTGTATGCTCTGAATCAGCATCCAACTATATGGTACTGTTTCTCTCATAGCCAGGATTCATAGGTCCAGGAATCAAGGGATGAAAGTGAGAGTGGCATCACTCACTATTACCCCAAGTGATCCACTAGCAAGATTTTTGCTTCCTGTTCCTAAGATTTTATGCTCTGCTGGTCTAAAGGTCTTAGTTCCAGAGAGAGAAACGCTTTCACCAGCAACATCACAACAAGGATTCCACTGAACTGGAAGTTAAGGTTGCCACCCAGTCACTGTGCCTCTGAGTCAATAGGCCAAGAGGGCATTTCTGGTGTTGGCTGGGGTGATTGAGCCAGATTACTAAGGGGAAATTGAACTGCTATTCCACAATGCAAATAAGGAAGAATATGTCTAGAATACAGGAGATCGCTTAGGGTGTCTCTTAATATTATTAATACCATGCTCTTTGATTAAGATCAATGGGAAACTACAATAATCCAACCCAGGCAGACTATGAATGGCCCAGACCCTTCAGGAATAAAGGCTGGGTCCCACCCCACCAGGTAAAGAACCATGACTAGCTGAAGTGCTACTGAAGGCAAAGGGAATACAGAATGGGTAGTAGAAGAAAGTGGTTATAAATACCAGGTATGACCATGTGACCAGTTACAGAAACAAGGACTGTAATTGTCATGAGTATTTCCTCCCTATGGTGTTATGAATATGTTTGTGTATATATATACATATATTAAGTAAATATCTTTCTTTTCTTTCCTCTTTCATTCTCTTATCATGTAACAACATAAGATGTATTGAGTCTATATCGACATTTAAGTGTTATTAATTTTACATCACAGTATTTAAGTTACAGGATATCGAAGAGAAAGTAAACATCACTCCAGAACTTCACTTTCTCTTCAGGGGAAGAGATTAATGCATATCTTGGTTGTATGCAGGAGAGTTGTCTCGTATTCAATGGAATCATGACCTTGTCTTTATTTGGAGATTAAGTTTGGTTTAAGGAGATGCGCTTGTGTGGCAAGTTGACAAGAGGTGGATTTGCAATGGTTAATTTTAGGTGTCAACTTGACTGGGTCAAGGGTTGCTCAGATAACTGGTAAAACATGATTTCTGGGTGTGTTTATGAGGGTGTTTCTGGCAGAGACTGGCATTTGAATCAGTGGACTGAGTAAAGAAGACTCATGCTTACCACTGTGGGTGGGTAACATCCAATCTGTTGAGGGCCTGGATAGAACTAAAAGGCAGAGGAAGGGCTCTCTTCTTCATTCTCTATTCTGGAGCTAGAATATCCATCTTCTCCTGCCCACAGGCCCCAGCACTCCAGGTTCTTGGGCCTTTGGACTCTGTGACTTACACCAGAGGGCACTCCTGCCAACCCGGTTCTCAGGCCCTTGGCCTCAGGTTGAGTTACACCACCAGCTTTCTGGCTCTCCAGTGGGCAGACAGCATATCCTGGGACTTCTTGGCCTCCACAATCACATGAGCCAATCCCCATAAAAAATCTCCTCTTATGTATCTCTATATATCCTGTTGGTTCTGTTTATCTGGAGAACTCTGACTAGTACAGTCACACAGCTAGTAAATGCTGGAAACAGGTACAAATCCAAATCTATTATATTAACCACCTCTCCCCATACTGCCTCTAAGACAACTAGTAGAAAAGACCTCCTAAGGGAGAAGACAGAAACAACACTGGGACTTAATTATGTAATATGGAGTCTAGTGCAGTGTTGCTTCCCTTGTTTTTGAGTATTGCTCTCCCTCCAGCCTTTTTAGACTTTTTTCCCTTATCTCTACCTTCCATGAAATTTTAATACTGCAGATATACTGTCTATTTATTTATGTACTCTGGTCCTTTGGAGAGCCACAAATCACTGCAATATCTAAAGTTTTCTTCACTCTCCTCTCTCCCACCCACCTCTCCAGAACCCATTTTTATGTCACTGGGGGCTATATTGTCCCAATGAGAATGCATGATCGGTATACTTTGCTCACCTTGTAGGATATACCATTGATTTCACAGAATCACAAAATCTCAGGGTTGAAAATAACTTGAAGGCCATTTACTCTTTTGCAAGAACCTTAACAAGTGACAATATATCCTGTACTTGGACACTTATAGCAATGGAGAACTCACTACTTGACATGGCAGCCCCATTCATCTCTGGAGGGCTCTTTACTAGAAAGCACTCTCTTATTTTGAGCCCAAATCTAGCATGTCAAACTTTATTTCACTAGTCAGTTATTTCCTTTGTTGCTGAACAGAAGGTGCAAAGTTAGGTACAATAGAGGGTAGAAACATGCCGAATATTTGGTTTCTAGGGACCAGACCAGAAACTGGTAATTGTATATGTTTGTATTATGGAAATTCTCTTGTGGTTCACCTATTTCAAACCTTATGTCTCTAGACTTTGTATCTCTAATAATACAGTGTGAAGTTTCTCTAGTGTTTTGAAGAAGCCATATCATACTTTGTCATCTTACTATGAACAAAAATTTCTCAGTATTAGTGTTGTTTTTAGAGATGATGGAATTGGTACAATAAAAAGGAATGGAATAGAGGTAAGAAGATTAGGGTATAATTTTTAAAATGGGGGCTACTTTTTTTTATTTAAAATAACAGTGGTAATCAGTTGTAGAACTAAAAGTGTTAATATAACTATAAAATATGAGTGGAGAGGAGGGAAAAGGAGATGAGTGACAGTGAGATGAGGATGAGCTAAGCCCTCATGTTTCACAGTGGGAATCAATAGCACTGCCTAAAAGTGATAAATTGAGAAGTAGAGAAACAGACATATTTTGAGTAATGAAAATAGCTATGAAACTCTAAAGCCAGAAGCAGAAAGAGGAGTAGGATAGAGGACGGTTGGAAGATTCTTGCTTTTCTTCATAACTTCTTTTAAACCATCTGACTTTTAACCAAACACATATACACATTAATTAAAATTAAAAACAAAAGAATAATGCAATTTTAAAAACCACCGTAGTGGTCTCTAAAACAGACAGGTCACTGTCTGTTGGCCTGACTGGAATAAGTCACCTAATCTTGGATTTAAATTTCTCACCTGTAAAGTGAGAAATGGGCTACATCAGTGGTTTTCAATGTTTTAAAAATAAAATATTAGGCCAGGTGTGGTGGCTTATGCCTGTAATCTCAGCACTTTGGAAGGCCAAAGCAGGTGGATCACTGGAGCTCAGGAGTTCGAGACCAGCCTGAGCAACATGGCAAAACCCCACCTCTACGAAAAATACAAAAATTAGCCAAGCATGGTGGCACGCACCTCTAGTCTCAGCTACTCAAGAGGCCGAGGTGGGAGAATCACTTGAGCCCGGGAGGCAAATGTTGCAATGAGCCGAGATTGTGCCACTGCACTCCAGCCTGGGTGACAGAGGGAGACCCTGTCTCAAAACAAATAAACAAAAAAATAAAAATAATATTACACAGAACCCCAATATATGAAAACAATTTTAATGAGGCTGTTCTGATTGGGAGGGGAGAATACCAGGAGTTTAACCCACTGTGCCTCTCTCCCTTAGCCCTTCCTTTCCTTCACCCCCTCACCCTCACCCCTATCACAGGCAACCTTATGACACTTAATCAGAGAATTCTAAGAATTTAGTTTGAAAACCATAAGCCTACATCAATTTTTCAATTTATGATTGTAACCCATAAATGTAATGACTTTGGACTAGCACAGTATTTTTTTTAATTTAATAGAAAAAATCAGAATGCAGTCCATTGTATTGTTGTGTACAACTCTTATTTCCATGGGGTATGTGTGTGTGTGTGTACTGAATAAAGACAGAAAGTGTGTTTCTTGTTATCAGTCACAATGGAAACATCTACGTTTTTCCAACTCTAACATTCTCTGACTCTGTGACTTCTCTGAATCATCTACTCTCTCTCTTAGGATCCTTATATATAGCAGCCCAAATTGCAATAGAGTTTTTGCTTTCTGCTAGAAAATCTTTATATTTTCACAAGGTATCAAAAAAACTGCTGGCTGGTCTGGAACTCGGAGTCCCATTAGGAGAATGCTTGTATACCCAGGTCTTGGGTGGAAGAACAAGAGAGGGCATAACTGAAAATCCCTCTGGGTGATTCTAATATATACTCCTCCTCTCCTCCCACTCACTCATCCACAAGACAAAGAGTGGAAACAAGCTGGCAATGCAAATAGTAAAATATATTTGGGAGGAATCTAAATTACTAAGCCTCGTTTATTGAAAAGAATGCCCAGTGGTTCTTCTTAATTAGTGAATTTTTAGGCAGCAGAGTTCTAAAGTGGTAAAAAATGTCCTAGACATTTTTCATTTTCATGAATGCCAAAATAAATATGGTATTCTATATCATATTACCACCAGCTCAGGAAAGGACTACATTCTCATAATTGGAAGAAAACTAGAATAGATCCATAGGGGAGAGGAAAAAGTTGGGTCTTCCTATCGCTGGAGCTTCATGAACTCCTTGAAACTGTACAAAATTGTGTTTGAATGTGTACATGTGCATTTTTCTAGGATAAAAGGTCAATAACTTTCAACAGCTTCTCAAAAGAATGTGATTGCTAAAAAAAGCTAAAAATCACTGGGTTAGAGGATCATGTTCATGACAAAGGCAATATGAACCACCGTCTCCAGGTGAAAAAATTTTGACTTTACCTTAATCAATAGAAGGCTTTGTTGCTTTTTTTCCTTTTGAAAGGGACTTAAAAAAAAGTGCACATCTGCTTTCACTGAGGATTCATCAATTCAAAGGCAGACAGCCTTAGATGACATACGGCCAGCACAGGGAGGCCTTGGCCATCGGTTACACCTGTACCGCCTGGCAGCGAGCCCCTGAATGGGCACCTATGACAACACCCTCCACAGATCATGCACAGACTTGATAGGGGTAGCACGGCACAGTGAGAGAGCAACAGAGCTACCTTTATGATGCAGGACTATTTGCTGACTATTTCACAGGGAAGGGACATAAAGTTCATACTAAGTATTCCCTTCCCCCAGTTAAGGAAGTATGGATAGTGCATTTATTTTATTTCTTATACTTTACAGTAATGCTGAGACAAAAATGCCTCCATGGTGTAAAACTGACATGCTAGGTTTTTTACTACTGAAAACGTCCAGTGCATCTAGAAATGGACCTCTCCGGAGTGTGGTCAAAGCTTTTTTTCCATCTCAAAGCATTTGATAAAAACAGTTTTCTACCACTTACTAGGAAAGATGTTCAATATATCACCTCCTATGGCCAGAAAAGAAGAAGGGTACATTTCAAGAAACAGAATTCAAAGGAAGGAAGGATATAAACAACTATTAGATACTGAGTGCCTTGAAGGTCTGTACTATGGTTTTTGTTTTGTTTTTTATTTTTAAGCATCTGATACAGAATTGCATCTAATATGAAATCAAATAATCCTGTATTTGGAATAATGCAGATCTGAATCTTGGTTCCACAGCATCCTAGCTTATCCAACCTCTGAGAGTTTCACTTTCTTCATCTGTAAAATAAAATAATTTTATCCATTGCCTTGTGCAGGCACTGTGAACATTTTTTAAATCAAAAGATATAAAACTCCCAGCAAGTGTCACTGCTCAGTACATGTTGGTCCCTTGCCCCCATCTCTCACAGCCGCCTCACTCCTCACAGTGGACTTCTAAATCCCGATTTCCAGGAATGACAAAACTTTGGTCCTTCAGTAAAGTATCAGAAGGATACAGACAGGCAGTGGGGGGGTGGCAATTCCCCTCTAAGATATTCTATTTTTTTTTTAAATACTTTACAGTGTTTCAGGAGACTCTTGACAAGTATTTCAAGCTTATTTCCATGCTTGCCCCAAAACAGGCAAGCAGGAGGAGGACTCAGGTATGGCCCGTACACTATGCCCAAAGGAAGGTAGTGGGAACCAGCCTGGCTCACATGAGAGGTGTGATCAGACTGGAGAAGCTTTTGAAGTCTGGTAGCTTATTTTTAGGCAAATGGTTGGCATAGGAGCCATCATGAAGTAGCTGCTACACCTTTATGATGCACAGAAACTAGGTGCCCAGCAAGTATGAGTCTACCTAAGGGCAGTAGAGGGCTCATCGAAAGATGAGGCTTCAAGGATAGCTACAGGGATGGCTTGGGTCCTCATGGCGGAACTGGGGCACTGGACTTTAAGAAGAAGCCTGCTTCTCTAAACATGGGTCAGAGTGGAGAAGATATCAGTCAAGAGGCCTATTGGATGGATCAGGAACCCTGCAGGGTTTGTAGAGTGAAATATACATCAGGCAGTGAGAGGCGTTGAGCCCTGGGGACTCTCAGGGCACAGTGATAGAATCCAGTAGTCATCACTGGAGAGTCACATCTGCATTCCGCACACCAGGGAGGGGAGATCATACTACCTCCCCTCTGGAAGTGAGAGAGGGGAAAGAAGGGCAAGCTTCATCCCTCCTACCTAGACCTGCAGAGTGGAGGGGGACAGGGCTATAGCTGGAGATTGAGGGGGAGGATAACAAGTGGGAGGCAGCGCTGCAAGGGGGAGGTAGAAGGAGAAGTCTCTCTTCCAGAGCACATTTTCACCAAGGGGGATCTTCTGTAGCCTTTTTATTGAAAGGTAACTAGTGGCCATGATGGAAAGCGTACAAAACGTACATCATAACACCAGCCAATCAGGAACGCTATGGATATGTGGGGACATGGGATATATGAGAAATCCTGTACTTACTTCTCTATTTTGCTGTGCAAAATAAAGCTCCTCTTTAAAGAAAGTCGATTTTTTAAAAAACAAAAACAGTCAACAGACACTCTGGGCTCATTTCCTCACTACCCTGGAGCAGTTCCCTCCCCAGACACCCTGCCCAGCCCCTTCCCTTGGGATCTGACCACATCTCCAGTTCAGGTTTCAACTACGCCCTGGTAGACAAAACACCCTAAGTACTAAAGTCTGTTCTTGCTTTCCAAAAAAGCATCAGCTGTTTCTTCCTAGGTGCACATCCACAAATTACAGAATGTCAGAAAGAGAGCTACCTCCAAAGTAATCAGGAGGAAACCATGAAGATTAAATTAGCTTACTTGGGATTTGAACCTATTTTTCTCACTGACACTTTTTACAAACTAACATTTAGTTATATACCAACATTTAGTTATACACACACACACACACTTAGTTGTAATCGGGGCTCTCTCAACAGAACCAATTGCATATATATTTGAGAGTAGGATAGAGATATAAAGAGATTTATCATACAGAATTGGCTCATGTGATGATGGAGGCCGAGAAGTCCCAAGATCTGCAAGCAGCAAGCTGGAGACCCAGGAGAGCTGGTGGTGTAGTCCTAGTCCAAGAGCAAGTAAGACTGATGGCCTAGCTCAAACAGACAGACAGACAGAGTTGCCTCTTATGCAGCCTTTTTATTCCATTCAGGTCTTTACTTGATTAGATGAGACCCACCCACTTTAGGGAATGCTATCTGCTTACTCAGTCTAGCAATTTAAAATGTTAATCTCATCCGGAAACACCCTCACAGACACATACAGAGATAATGTTTTAGCACATGTCTGGGCACCCATGGCCCAGTCAAGTTGATATATAAAGTTAACCATCACCCAAGGGCTTGAATTGCACCTTAAAAAAAAAAATCCCCACTGCCATCATCTGATGTAGGTGACCATGAGTAGAAGAAAGGCAAAGTAATATCAGTGGTGGGTAGGCAAGCCAAACTGCAGACTTGATCATCCTCCCCAGGAATCCAAGAATTGCCCTATTTGTCAATGTATAAATATACTTTCGTTTTTTGGAGAAGGAAAAGAAAATAACTGGAGTACAGGTTTGAAATGACTGGATTTTATTACTTTAATTTCTTTTGCTCTGTTCAAAAATTTTGTAGAAAATAAATCCCATAAACTTAACACACCAACTATTCACAGCATTCCTTTTCTCTGCTGTACTTGGCCAAGATAGAGATCCACATTTTACAAAGGGTTCTGCTCTGTTTTGCTTAACCTTTTTAAGGTGCCTGGTGAGAGGCATGGACTTGGGGTCAGAGGCCAGGCTCTGAATCCAAACTCTGCCACTGTGTAGCCTTCAACAAATTGTTTTACCATGCCAAGCCTCCATTTTCCCCACTTGCAAAATCAGGAACAGCATGCATTTTCTCCTTTACAAGATTGCTGTGAGGATCAAATAAACTAAAGCATGTTGAAAGTATTCATATACTCTAAACCTTTATATAAATGTTGAACCACATACTTGTCATTTTATTAGTGACTCTGACTTCTGTCATAATAATGGGATCATGGTGTGTGTATTAGTTTCCTAATGCTGCTGTAACAAATTACCATCAACTTAGTGCCTTAAAACAACACAAAAGTATTAACTTACAGTTCTAAAGGTCAAAAGTCTAAAATGGTACCCCCTGGGCAAAAATAAAGCTGTTAACAGGCTATCATTTTTCTGGAGGCTTTAGGGGAGAATCAATTATCTTGCCTTTTTAACTTCTACAGGTTACCCACATTCTTTAGCTTGTGGCACCATTTCTCCATCTTGCAAGCCAGCAATGTCAGGCCAAGTCCTTCTCACATTGCCATTTCTCTGGTTCTCTCTCTCTCTCTCTCTTCTGCTTTTATCTTCTACTTACAAGGACCCTTGTGATTACACTGGGCCCACCTGGGAAATCCTGGTTAATCTCCCCACCTCAACATCAGCTGATTAGGACACCTTAATTCCATCTGCAACCTTAATTCCCCTTTGCCATGAAACCTGACATATTCACAGGTTCTCAGGATTAGGACATGAACATCTTTGGAGGGACATTATTATGCCCTCCGTACTTTATTTACTCATCCCCCTCAACGTAAATTCAGTTTTTAAAATACTGCACCTCTACACATTTGTTATATCTACTTTCCCCGATGAGTTTGAAGTTAACAGAAAACCTAACGGCCATTTTTCCAGGTCTACTTTCCAGTCCAAAAGTATTCATTCCTATTAAAAAAAAAAAGCTATTTAGAAAATTTTAAAATTCAATTAAAAAATTAAAGGAAGAAAAACATATATAATCCAAACACACGCAGCAATTGTCATATTTTGGCACATTTCCTCCAAGCATTTTTTTGCAGTTTTCTTTCACATAAGTGAGAGCATACCATCTATAAAAATGTTTATGCTGTTTAATACAATTGCATCAACATTTCAACTGTGCAAACCCTTTGTGAACATAAATTTTTATGGCTGCATAATATTTCATTGCAGCAAGGTAACATAATTTACTTGGATGTTATTGTTAAGCATTTAGTTTCTTTAATCTTTTACTTATTAAAGATAATAAATGTTAAGTATCTTTTATCATTCATATTTATTTACATTTATAGTTATATTCCTCTTAGGTGAGATTTTCAGAATTTATGGGCCAAAAGGAATGAATATATTTAAAGCTCTTGATAAATATTGTCAAAACACTTTCTTCAAATAATAGTCTATTTACACTCCTTCCAGCACTATGCTGGGTCAACACACCCTGACCAACAGTAGGTATTCTCATTCTTCTTAATCTTGGCTAGTTGAAATGGACATCTCATTGTATATGTATCTCCTTTGATCATGTGTGAGTCTGAACATTTTTTCATGTGTTTATTCAGCACTTATATTTCTCCATTTGTGTTTGGTCTACACATGAAGGTCATTTATTCTTTCCCAACCTAGTTATGCTTGTGGGGGTTCATGGCAAGAATGCGTCACTTCAACAGTAACTTGGAAATTCTTTCTCTGTCCTTACTCTGCTTGAAGGATCTGAGCCCTAATCAGATTCTCTGAGGACTACTATTGCCAGTTTTCCTCAGAACAGGCTTTCTTTACTGGTCTCAAGCTGCTCTGTGGGTTTCTGATGGTGTTTCTTCACTGTTCAGTTGTCAGGTCTGGCTTTAGCTGGCAAACCTTCCAAGAAATCCAGATTTTTCTCTCCTGCCTGCTACCTTCCCACCTCATTCTCATCTTCCTGTGTTCCTTCCAGCACCTTCCTAATGCCCTAATACCTGATATTCTAGTTCAGTTCCTGGAAAAAAACAAATCTTCAGTCACCCACCAGGGTAGGGAACAGGTAGCTGACCAGCTGACCCAGGTAGAAAACAGGAACAGGGGTCTCATTACTTCTTAGGTAAACATTCACCACTCCTCCTGGTTCAGTCTTACCCTTCACCTCCATTTCCATGGTATCTGGTGCCTCCGGTTCTAAGACTTGCCCTGGTTCTATGATGTGAACTGCCCATTTCTTTTAGTTATCCGCCTCTAGAGAAAGGTAGGTTTCAGTTATCCCTCATCTGCTAAATTAGTTACAACATACCTACTTACTTTTCAAACTCTAAACTTTTATTGATAACTCTGATCTGCTCTTGTCGCCTCTTCTGTTCTCTTTGTCCTTATGGGCTTACACATTTTGTAATTCCTTTACTGACATTTTGACGGGGCTTGGGGAGCCTGTGCTCAATACACTGTGTATTTCTTTACTCTCTGCCCTGGAGACCGTGTTCTTTCTTACGTCGATCCTCAAAAATCCTCATTTTCTTATCTTTTTGCCCTCCAAAGCATCTTGTCTCTCTCTTCTTCATCCAATATTTCCAGAACAATGTCTTAAATAAGCTTAGGCTTTTACAAAAGATGAGAAGTAGCATGATTCCAAGCAGCGTCCACGTTATCCTGTCCCATCCCACTTCTACCTACCCTACAACAATCACTGAAGTAAGACAACCCTGAGGGCCAGGCTGCCCATTGAAAGCAGGGGAGAAGGAAAATATTGGAGATCAATAAATGTAAGTTTATATTTAAGTATATAGACTTTATTTACTTACTGCCCATTTTCTATACACAATAAAATCTACAGAGCACCTGGTTGGACTGGAGTGTGTGGCTTCAGCTAGGCTTCTAATGCTGGCATTGCAAAAAGTCTCACTGCATTTCTTATATCCCAGAGTATGGTTAGTTTTATTTGCTAGGGATAGGACATGGCATCTTAATAAGAAAACCCTTCAGTTATAATTCACAGGTGATTTGTTCAGATCATAGTTAAGAGATATCAGGCCGGGAGTGGTGGCTCACACCTGTAATCCCAGCACTTTGGAAGGCTGAGGTAGGCGGATCACAAGGTCAGCAGTTCGAGACCAGCCTGGCAATATGGTGAAACCTGCCTAGCAATACGGTGAAACCCTGTCTCTACTAAAAATACAAAAATTAGCTGGGCATGGTGGTGGGCGCCTGTCATCCCTGCTACTCAGGAGGCTGAAGCAGGAGAATTGCTTGAACCCAGGAGGCGGAAGTTGCAGTCAGCCGAGATCGCGCCACTGCACTCCAGCCTGGGAGACAGAGCGAGACGCCATCTCAAAAAAAAAAAAAAGAAAGAAAGAAACATCAAAGATACCCAAAATCTACTTCCCGGACTGCGTGTCACTTACAGAGCACTCCAGTCCCACAACTATGCTGACCTCAATTATAAACCATTACTGGGTTTTTTTTTTTTCCAAAATACTTTTCTTGATTATTGAGTTATTGTGTTTAAGGGTTAGAAGTAGGTGCCAAGAAACAAGATTACAACTAGTATCTTGACATTTCAGATAATTTAATCTCAAAAAGGGGATACTTAAACTGGTTTTCATGTTTCCAGATTAACTGTTGACATCAAGTCAGAGACATCTCAACTTTCTTAGAGGCTCCTACTCCCAGTGTTAACATAAACAACAATAAAATCACTCTGCTTGCAGAGTCTAAAATAACCTCAGCAGAGTTTTCATTCCAAACTTTTTTTTTCTTTTGGAGACAGGGTCTTGCTCTGTTGCCCAGGCTGGAGTACAGTGGCATGATCATGGCTCGCTGAAGCCTTGACCTTCAGGTTCAAGTGATCTTTGTGCCTCAGCCTCCCAAGTAGCTGGGACCACAGTCACATGCCACCACATCCAGCTAATTTTTAATTTTTTTGTAGAGATGAGGCTTGTCTTAAATGTCTGGACTCATGTGATGTTCCCACTTTGACCTCTCAAAGTTCTGGGATTACAGGCATGAGTCACTGTGCCCAGTCTATTCTAACCATTATAAGCCACATTGTGAGACATTGAATGCAATCAAGGAATGTGCCCAAATAGTTCCCAAATATCCTACAAATTTACTTTAAAGAATAACATTTGGAGTTAAGGTCACATAAATCAGCTTAAAAATGACCAAAACTCTTTAATCTTGGAAGGAAGTAAATAACTGAAAAAAAAAAAAAAAACTATATATGGCATGATGGGAGATAAAGTCATATAAATGAAGGAAGGAAATCCTAAAACTCATGCATGTGTCAGAGAATCACATTAGAAAGTGTATTAGGATATATGCCAGGCACTGTGGCTCACACCTGTAATCCTAACACTTTGGGAAGCCCAGGTGGGAGGATCGCTTGAGCCCAGGAATTTAAGACAAGCCTGGGCAACATAGTGAGGCCCTGTTTCTACAAAAAATTTAAAAATTAGCTGGGTGTGGTGGCATGTGCCTGTGGTCCCGGCTACACAGGAAGCTGAGGCACAAGGATCACTTGAGCCTGAAGGTCAAGGCAACAGCAAGCCATGATCATGCCATTGCACTCCAGCCTGGGTGACAGAGCAAGACTCTGTCTCAAAATAAGTAAATAAATAAATACATAAATAAATACATAAATAAATGATTGCCTCCAACATTAGTCACAAGCACAAAATATAAATACAGTTCTTCCTTGTTCTTGTAACCTGATGGTTTCTCAGTCTACATAGTCACCTTTTCGGTCAAGTTTCAAAATTTAAAAAAATTCATTCAAGAGGAAAAGAAAGGACGTTGTTACTATCACCAGTACAGGCAATATGAACAACTTCATATAACTGTCATAACTTCTAAACTGAACATAATTTCTAAAGTCTAAACCTTAATGCTGTTCATAACTGTTTACGTAAATTGAGTCTGACTATATTTTAAAATACCTCCCTCACAATTCCACTTGCAAGTAGTAAAAATAAATCTCACTAGCATCTGAGTTTCTCACCATGGCTCCATCTGTTTCCTCCAACATAGACCTGTTTTCTTCCCATCCAACCTCAGAAGCTGATCCCCAAACCACCTCTTGCAGAATGGGATACAAGTTTAAAAGCTGGTATTATTTTCATCCTTTTTCTTATAAAACTTATAAAATAGATATGCTAAGGCTAGTGGTGAACCCCTCCATCTGGGTACCAAGCTGTTTCCTTCTATTTTATTTGAATGGAATAATGTAAAACTGCATGATCTCTAAAGTTCTTTAAAGCTGAGAAATCGAATATATCTATGATATCACTTATCATGAACAGATTTAAGTAGAGTTGGTAGGTATGTATCTCCTAGCCATCAAAATTATCTGACATCTCACCTTAAATCTTAAACATCCTAATTGATCTAGTATCTAGAAAGCAAGGTGATTGGTTAGGTCAGGGCATGGGGCTGAGTTTACCAGTGGCTCTCCATCACTGTGTAATAGCTCAGTGAAAAAATATTAGCTCCGTTATTAATGATGATTGTTAAAGTGTCCCTTGATAAAAACAAGCTGCTGGCAAGGTCTATACAACCAGCAGTAGGAACCCTTGCTCTCAAGTTTGTGAATCAGCAATACAGTAGGTGTGCCTGCCTACTGCCTCCCAAAATGCACATTAAGAAGAGAAAGGAAGAGGAGAAAAAGAGATTTCCATTTAGCTTTTACCTCTAAAAGCACTGTCAGCTTTGAAGGACTAAGCGATGGCAGAGGAGTTTGTTGTGCACCAAGGCGTGCATCTCAGACAAGGCCATTGATGGTTCCCTCACCTCCAGGCAGGAACAATTCCCTGAGGATGAGGAAGATTAAGTTCATACACATGCACACACACATGCACACACACACGTATAGCACTCCACAATGTGGGAAAAGATTTCTCTGATGTGAGGAGGAAAAAGGTTATTTTCTTTTTTTTTTATTATACTTTAAGTTTCAGGGTACATGTGCACAACATGCAGGTTTGTTACATATGTATACATGTGCCATGTTGGTGTGCTGCACCCATTAACTCGTCATTTAACATTAGGTATATCTCCTCATGCTATCCCTTCCCCCTCCCCCCACCCCACAACAGTCCCCGGTGTGTGACGTTCCCCTTCCTGTGTCCATGTGTTCTCATTGTTCAATTCCCACCTATGAGTGAGAACATGCGGTGTTTGGTTTTTTGTCCTTGCAATAGTTTGCTGAGAATGATGGTTTCCAGCTTCATCCATGTCCCTACAAAGGACATGAACTCATCATTTTTTATGGCTGCATAGTATTCCATGGTGTATATGTGCCATATTTTCTTAATCCAGTCTGAAAAGATTATTTTCTCATTGCCACGTTCCCTCTGCTTGGGAATTTCTAGTCATTACAGGTAGTGACAATGAAAATTATTTTGTCTTGATAATTCATTAAATAAATATTTATTGAGTGCTATTATATGCTAATAATCTTAACATTCTCCTGAAAAATGTTTCTTTCTTAAAAATAATAAAAGAAAATTATGTCATACCTTCTGCAAATATGTCTTCCACTCAAAGAACATATGCAGTACTAACAAAGTGTCTTATTTCAGCATCCAAGCTTGTCTCTCAGAAATGGCCAAGTGATATAACAGGTTCTGCTTCTAAGCCACGAGATGATTTATAATACCAACTAGTTATACCTCTTTAGGACATTATAGCTACTATAAAAACAGATACTTCTATAATATCTCAGGTGATGGCTAAGTCAAGAAACAATCCGTTGTATCTTAGCATAGTTGTGAGGGAAAGTTCTTCCATCTCTATATTAAAATAGTTAGTGTTTCCCACAATTTCTCTACATTGTTGCTAGTGTTGCCTTTTGAGGCTATGGAATGTTCAAGGCTTCCATTATTGGAACCAGAATTACAGTTGGCATTTACTGGGTGTTTACTAGGTATAGTGCCCTGTGCTAAATTCTTTGCAGACGTTATGTTATCTCCCCCTGTAAACACAGACCCGCACCATCCCCTTTTCCAGGCAAAATAAACCAAGATCTTCCAGCTGTTCTTTGTGTGATTGTTTCCAGACCTTTCAACATTCTGATCACCCTCCCTGGTCAGCTCCACTTTGTCAATGCTCCCGTTAAAATGTGGCATCCCTATCTAGTCACGATCATCCAGATGTAAGTTAATTGATTCCAAATACAGAAGAACTATTATTTCCTTGGACTGGACAGGGTATTCCTCTCAGTCTGGCCTAAGAAGAAAGGATCTTTGTTTGTTTTGGGGGTGTTTTATGGCAAATCACATGACTTGCTCATGTTGCCCTTGCTGTCAGTGAAAACCCTGAGTCCTTTCTGCATATAAACTGATTAAGCCAAATCTCTACCATCCTGTGCAGCTAATTTTTAATGTAAGGAAAATGTTCACTTTGTATTTATTCCTCCCTATTAAATTTACTGTTTTCCATTCGCAGCTGCTTCAAAGCTATAAAGATATTTTGAGGTCTTATTTATTTATTTTTGCTTTGTTTTGCTTTGTTTGAGATGGGGTCTTGCTGTGTCACCAAGGCCAAGGTGCAGTGGCACAACCATGGCTCACTGTAGCCTTGACCTCCCAGGCTCAAAAAATTCTCCCATGTCAGCTTCCCTAGTAGCTGAGACTACAGGGATGTGCCACTACACCTGACTAATTTTTGTCTTTTTAGTAGAGACAGGTTTTTGCCATGTTACCCAGGCTGGTCTTGAACTCCTGGTCTCAAGCGATCCTCCCACCTCAGCCGCTAAAAGTGGAATTACAGGTGTGAACCACAGTGCCCAGCCCTTATTTATTTATTTTTTTTAAGAGACATAGTCTCGCTTTGTTGCCCAGCCTGGACTCAAACTCCATGGTTCAAGTGATCCTCCCACCTTGGCCTCCCAAATAGCTAGGACTACAGGCACAAGCCACCATACCTGGCCTTTTCAGATCTCATTTTGTCACTCAACACATTAACTCTCTTTATAGCATCTCAAAATGAAGTAAGCATGTCTTCATCTAAGCAGATAATTTAAGAAGTTGAACAGACCCATGCAGCATGCCAGCTAAAGCTTTGCCACCTAGTTCATTAGTGGGAGATCCTGAGATACAAGCCTTCAACCAGTTAGGGAATCTACCTAATTATTTTATCTTCTTGACCCTTTTCTTCATCTTGTTCTCAGTGATACCCAGAAACTTCATCATCTGTTTTGTTAGAATCATGATGCATTCCTTCAACCTACCAGTTTGGTAACGTGAACAAAAAGAATGGCTGTTTTAAGTTGCTCTTGGTGAAGTCCTATTGGTTGCTGGTAACTGCAACTTTCTTTCTTCACCTAACAAATAAACTATCTCAAAATTCACTACAGAATCTTGCCAAAGATCAATATATTTTAGTTTTTTTCTCCTGGAATTCATGTTCTTTCTTGCCTCTACCAATACATACTATATAAATACTTTCTAAATATTGGGACACTATTTGCCTCCTCCTCCTCCTCCTCCTCCTCCTCCTCCTCCTCCTCTTCTTCTTTTTCCTTCTTCCTTCTTCTTCTTTTTCATTTTTTTTTTTTGAAACAAAGTCTCACTCTGTTGCCCAGGCTGCCAGGCTGGAGTGCAGTGGCATGCTCTCGGTTCACTGCAAACTCCACCTCCTGGATTCAAGCGATTCTCATGCCTCAGCCTCTGGAGTAGCTGAGACTACAGGTGTGCACTACCACACCCAGCTAATTTTTGTATTTTTTAGTAGAGATAGGGTTTCACCATGTTGGCCAGGCTGGTCTCAAACTCCTGGCCTCAAGTAATCTGCCCTCCTTGGCCTCCCAAAGTACTAGGGTTACACTTACGAGCCACCCTGCCTGGCTTCATCTTCATTCTTAATGCCTCTCTTTCAATCCTCAAGATTATTGACATTGAGACTGGATTCTTCTTTGCAGTCAAGTATGCTGGAATGAAATCCAACTTTTATTCCTGAAGTCATTTAAAGCAGGCAGGTACTTTTTCCCATCCCTTTACCTCCAGAGAAGTCTTTCTTAATATTATTTTATCTAACATTTCTAATGTGACTGTAAGTATCAACTACAGGAGGCAAGTGGGTCAATTATTTTTATCCTCCTTTCTTTAGAAATCACTGGGACACAGATTAATTGAGCAGTTAAGGAGTGGCAAAGTTAGAACTGAACCCAGTTGTCTTACCTCCAAATCCAGCACTTCCTAAACTACGTTTGTTGTCTCCTTTTCTTAACTTCCAGGAAAAAATGTTGCTTGTGTAAGTGAATCTGTATGCTCTGTGCTTCCAAAAATTAAAAATTAAAAATAAAACCTGGCCAGGCGCAGTGGCTCACTCCTGTAATCCCGGCACTTTGGGAGGCTAGGCAGGTGGATCGCTTGAGGTCAGGAGCTTGAGACCAACCTGGCCAACATTATAAAACCCCGTCTCTACTAAAAATACAAAACAAAATTAGCCAGCCGTGGTAGCGCACGTCTGTAATCCCAGCTACTCGAGAGGCTAAGGCAGGAGAATTGCTTTAATTGGGCAAACCTGGGAGGCGGAGGTTGCAGTGAACCGAGATTGCGCCACTGCACTCTAGCCTGGGTGAAAGGAGACTCCATCTCTAGGTAAATAAATAAATAAATGCGATATAATCTTATGTTTATTCCTCTTTGTTTTTTATTGCCAGAATTCCTGGATCCAAACACTGGTGCCTCAGCTCTGTTAAATCAAATTTAGCCTAAAGGTGACTCCTTACTTAAGTTCAGCCTAAAGGTTTCTCTGTACCTCGCGAATTATAACAAGTGGAGGTGTAACCAGACCATAGCCTACATTTGTGCCAATCACCGAGTTTTGGCCAATCAAATGTAGCCAACTGTTCAAACTGTGTTTCAATAAGGCAAACGCCAAGCTGTAACCAATGCGGCTGTTTCTGTACCTCATTTCTGTTTTCTGTACATCACTTTCCTTCTTCTGTCCATAAATCTTTCATCGCATGGCTGCACTGGAGTCTCTGAGCCTACTCAGGTTCAGGAGGCTGCCCAATTTGCCAATCGTTCACTGCCCAATTAAACCTTTTTAAATTTAATGTGGTGGAAGATTTTCTTTTATCAGCTCTGATCCAGAAAACCATCTACTATTTGTTGTTTTTCCTGTTATGTTTTTGCTTTTAGATGTCTTATAATTTCAATCTTTTGCACTTTAGAAATAGTCCATAAACAAATCTTAAGTAATTCATTTAGATTGTCTTTTTCTCTCGGGGAATTCCACTACAGATAGTGAAAGAACACCTCCTTTGATAGTTTCTTCCTTCCTGTCACCGCAGAGAGAAATTCTATTCCTTACATAGTTAGGGATACTGGAATTGCTACCTTAACACTCAAGCAGCTAATGTAGTCAGCACATGAATCTGCCTCTGCCATTTTCACTAGAAGAAAAAATTTTACCATCCCGTAATAAAAGCAAAGAAATTTACCTACAAAAATAAAAGACTTTCCAAAGATAGAACTGATCAGATACAAAATCCCAAAAGAAGATGAACTTTACAGGTAGTGGAAATGGCTAAAATTCTAAAAAAGATTTTCATGTGTGTAAATGTGTGCAAAGGATTTATGTTTTTTAAAATGTATTATCTTTAGTTTTCATTGGTTTGTCTTTGTTGTGCCTAGATTAGAGTTTCTTTTTGTAGTTTTACTCCTTGTGGTTCCCAGGTCTTCTTGAATCTGTTGCTTGATTGCTTTCATTCATTTTGGAAAGCTCTCAGCCATTATCTTTTCAAATATTATTTTTGGCTCATGTTCTTTCTTCTCTCTTCAATCTTCTGGATCTCCCGTAATACATATGTTAGCTCTTCTCATGGTATCCCATACAGCTATTAACCATTCTTATTTTTCTCCATTATTATTTTGGATATTTTCTTCTGACCTATCTTCCAATTTTCTAATTCTCTCTTCACATTTGTCTACTGCACACATTTATTATAGTCTTAATTTTTTGTGTTTTTTGTATTGCATCATATAGTTTCCAATTTTATGCTTAAATTCTCAATTCTGTATTATCTCCTTGAACATAGCAAGCATATATATTTTGAATTCTGTGTCTGGTAACTGTAATCGTAGAACCTACCTCAGAGAATGTTGTGAAGACTGAATGACAGAAGCCATATAAAGTGATTTGCATAGGGCTGATACAGAGTAAGTTCTTTTTAGGTAGTAACTATAGGTAGTATATCGTAAAATATATATTAAATACATAGTTCATGTCAAGAAGGAGCAGTTAAAAGAACAGCAGATGACAGTTACATATTCAGCCATCATTCTTCAGCTGCAATGCTTAATACTTGTGTGGGTCACCTAGTAAGTCCATTTTATTATCTCTGCAAACTTAGGCCTACCACTCAGCAGGAAGGTGGGACACTCACAAATAGACTTACATAAAAAAATGAGACAAGATAAAAGTAAAGAGGATTTGACATATGAAAATAGACCAGTCTCACAGAATGTTAAAAAAAAGAAAAAAGAAAAAAAAAAACAGTTAGAGTCCAGGCATGGTGGTTCATGCCTATAATCCCAGCACTCAGGAAGCTAAGGTGGGAGGATTGCTTGAGGCCAGGAGTTCGAGATCACCCTATCCAACATAGTGAGACCCCCATATCTATTAATAAAAAAAAAATTTTTCAAACCACTTATGCCTCTTTACATGTTTCCAACTGGTACCATAATTAAGCAACTTTCAGGAATAGAAAAATACTTCCTTAATATGATTTTTTTAAAAATATCACACACAGAGCCAACATCAACAACTGATAGAGACATTTCTATTAAAATGGGGAAGAAAACAAAGCTCCTGATAAAGCCACCATTATTTAAAATTGCACAGGATATTCTCAGCAATGTAGTAAGATACGAAACAGAAATGACACATAACAACTGGAAGAGTGAATATATTTATCACATTGTAGATTACAATGTTAGACAATATAAGAATACACTGGGAAAACTAGAGTTAAATTTTAGTGAAGTGCTTGAATGCACCCTATATCTAAAAATCAGTAGGTTTCTTTAAAAATACTATAATTGTGTACCTATTCATAGTACTAGTTATTATTTATTCTCCCACTCAAACTATCCTATCCCTGTGGCTCAATTCTTCACTGCTCCAATTATTTCTGCAACTTATGATCATTGAGTTAGGCTTTTATTTGTCTGCTTAAAATGCCAAAACACGGCCAGGAGCGGTGGCTCATGCCTGTAATCCCACCACTTTGGGAGGCAGAGGCGGGCTGATCACTTGAGTGCAGGAGTTCAAGACCAGACTGGGCAGCATAGTGAGACCTCGTCCCTACAAAAAAATTTGAAAATTAGCTGGGTGTGGTGGTGTGTGCCTATCATCCCAGCTATTAGGAAGCTGAGGTGGGAGGACCACCTGAGCCTGGGGAAGTTGACACTGTACAGTGAGCCAAGATCCTACCACTGTGCTCCAGCCTGGGCAACAGGGCAAGACCCTGTCTCAAAACAAACAAACAAACAAAAGCCAAGACAGGAATAAGAGTAATGTAGGAGATTGTGTTAAGACACAGTCACCCAGGAAGGTATATCCTACCTTCTTCTGAGTGCTGGAAGAGAATCAGACTGAGATGAGGCTTTTATTTATTCAACACACACTTGTGTATGCACAGACACTGTGCATATTAATTCAGGGAATACAATGATGCTAGGACTTCTGCTCTCCTGGAGCATGCTGTCTAATGAGAGAAATTAAATAAATGAACCCAAGATAATATTTATTAAGTGCTAGTTGTGATAAGGTCTGAGAAGAAATAACAGAAAAATAGAAAGTGATGGGGAAAGGGGGTCAAGGAAGAGAGAGAACATAAAATTTAGAGTGAGGGATCAGACTAGTCTGTCTGAAGAAATGCCATTCAAGTTCACACCTTATGGGCCAGGAAGGGGTTGGTCAGACAAGAGGGATGGGCAGCATCCCTAGAGCAAATAGCAAAGAGCTAGAAACAAAAGTCTAGTGAGCCAGGGGAAGAATGGTGAGAAGTAAAGATAGAAAGACAGGCAGGATCCACATGATGCAGTCTGTAGAAGCTGGGATGCTTTCTGCTTCTAATAATAGAAGGACAAATTAAAAAGAGCTCAAACAGTAAGAAGTTTATCATCTAACAAAATAATCACGACATATATTTAAATATATTATTATACACATAATAAATACAACATGAAGCCCAACAGTAGGTGGCTCCAGTCTGGCTGCAGGAGTGGGTGGGTCAGCTGCTCAACCACATCTTCAAGGGTGAAGTTTCTTGTTTCTTTCCCAGCCTCCTGTGCCATGCCTGGGGGTTGTCCCCTTAAGCTAGATCCTCTTATGGGGTCAACATGACGATTAAGGTTTTGAGGTGGTTTTGGTTTTTTTTGTTTTTTTTTTTTGAGACTGAGTTTCATTCTGTTGCCCAGGCTGGAGTACAGTGGCGCAATCTCAGCTCACTGCAACCTCCACCTCCCGGGTTCGAGCGATTCTCCTGCCTCAGCCTCCCAAGTAGCTGGGATTACAGGCATGCACCACCATGCCCGGCTAATTTTTTTTGTATTTAGTAGAGACAAAGTTTCATCATGTTGGTCAGGCTGGTTTCAAACTCCTGACCTCAAATGATCCACCCACCTCGGCCTCCCAAAGCGTTGGGGTTACAGGCATGAGCCACCGCGCCCAGCTGATTATTGTTCATTTTTAAAGAGTAAATAACCCCTCCACAGAAATGCTACTCCACTACTCTGTCCCTTCCCTCTCCTCCTCTCTCTCAAGCAGGTTTGTGACTTTGTTTCCTTAGATGGCTACAGCCAATGCCTAAAACTACCACTGGCAAAAAGAATGGAATTACTACGATTGGTTTACTTTAATTCACCCTGTGGGCCTGATCGCATGACCCAGGAACAATGACACTGAATGCAAGGTTCTTAACCTGGGGCCTATGAACATTTTGGTTAGCATTCAGGAATATCTGTGAACTGAGATGGGGAAAGCACTACCCCTTTATTTTTCAACAATCTCTAACTGAAATCGTTAACTGAAATCTTATTTCCTTCCATTATGAAGGTAGGCAAAAGACTACAGTCATAATAGGAGTGCATGTGATTTTATCACCAATAAAAATCACAGATATTTAATATCACAGTACAGTCACAGTTATGTTGCTTTCCTGCATTCCCCATCTTCACCTGCTTTTTGATCAATACTTGGAAGGGGTGAGTCAAAGACCATTCCACAGTTTAATGTTCTTATTCACTCTAAGCAACAAAGGCCTCCACACTAATAGATTTTCTAAAAATGTAAACTTAAACTTAACCAACCTGGAATTTGGTGAATTCTTTCCTTTTTTTTTCTATGCACTATCCTTACTACCTCCCCCAGCCTACACTTAACCTGCATTTCTTGTCCTCTCCATCCATACTGCTTCCCATCCCCATCCTATAACCCTTACTGTCTATCTTCAAGTTATTTACATGTGTATATAAAAACATAGGAGGCAAGAGATTAAAAACAGAAGCAGAAAACACAGTCTTTTCTCTCTCTCTTTCGCCTTAAATTGTAAAAGTAGGCCAGGCACAGTAGCTCACACCTGTAATCCCAGCACTTTGGGAGGCTGAGGCGGGCAGATCATTTGAGGTCAGGAGTTAGAGACCAGCCTGGCCAACATGATGAAACCCCGTCTCTACTAAAAATACAAAAATTAGCCAGGTGTGGTGTCAGGTGCCTGTAATCCCAGAAACTCAGGAGGCTGAGGCAGAAGAATTGCTGGAACCTAGGAGGCAGAGGCTGCAGTGAGCCGAGATTGCACCATTGCACTCCAGCCTGGGTGACAGAGCGCAACTCCATCTCAAAAAAAAAAAAAAATTTAAAAGCAGGATAAAGCCACGGTGGGGAACCCCTAGGGCCTTGGTGTCTGGGTTTGAAAGTATGTTCCACCCCTTACTAGAAGTAGGGCTTGGGAGGGTTTCAGGACCTCAATGAGCTTAATTTCCCCATTTGTATAATGAACATAATAATAATATCTGCATCACAGATGAGAAAATGCACATGAAGTGCTTATAAAGTGGTGGCACACAGTAAGTGACTAATGAAACTTTGTTATTACTAGTATCATGTGAGGAAATTATTCTGACTAAGTGCATAATTTGGTCAACTCTCCATGGCATACATCACCCAGTATTCATGTCTGAAGAGATTTTCTTCTTTTGTTGGCCAGCTAAGAAATTTTATTTATTAATGTGTTCAAGAAATACTTACTGAGCCCATACTAAGTTTCATCCCTTGTATTCAGTAGGGGCTTAGTTAACATCCTGTATAAACACACAATAGAATATGTTATGATGCTTCAGCTAAGGCGAACTCGTTGTATTTCTACCTATTATCATGGGAAGAGCTCCAATGTCAGAGTATTTAGTGGGAGAAAAAAGTTGCTGACAGTTTATCCGCACTAATTCCATTCTTATAAAATCACATAAACATACACGCAAAAATACTACATATTTTGTATGGATCTCTATATATTATGTAAATGTGCAGAGGAAGTTCTAGACTGGTACTCACCAAATTGGGACGGAAACTAAGATTGGAAGTGGGGGAGCCGTTTAAAAGAATGTTAAACGGCCGAGAACCGTGGCTCACACCTGTAATCCCAGCACTTTGGGAGGCCAAGGCGGGTGGATCACCTGAGGTCAGGAGTTCATGATCAGCCTGGCCAACTTGGTGAAACCCCATCTCTGCTTAAAATACAAAAATTAGCCAGGTGTGGTGATGCGTGCCTGTAATCCCAGCTACTCAGGAGGCTGAGGCACGAGAATCGCTTGAACCAGGAGGCGGAGGTTGCAGTGAGCCGTGACTGCGCCACTGCACTCCAGCCTGGGCGACAGAGCGAGACTCCATCTTAAAAAAAAAAAAAAAAAAAAGAATATTAGTCTTATGGGTTATGTTCAAATTTTTACATGAGGATGGAATATAATACCCAGATAATATCAAAAAAGCAATGCTGTGGCTCCTGCCAGATTTCCTGGGTATCTAATTGCCACAACCCATGCAATTTCTGACTTCGAATAGATTCGGTTAACAACTTTAAAAAAAGCCTAATCACACACAGAAGATCCAGTGTTGTCTCTCTTTTCTTCAGTGCCTTGGAGAAAAAGGCAGAGGCATATTTATATAAGCACACCTACACGACTTCTAAATTTACCCATTTAGAGATGTGCGCGCACAGACACGCTGCCTCCCAGGGAGACGCGCGCCTCGCCGGGGCTGAGGCTGGCGCTGGGGCTGGCGCTGGGGCTGGGGCTGGGGCTGGGGCTGGGGCTGGGGCTGGGGCTGGCGCTTGGGTCCAGTGCAGCTGCGCGTCTTCCTCCATCCGGCGCCAGCCCGAGTCCGCACCTTCCATCCTTTCGTCGGCTGGACCCTTAACAATGTCAGACTAGAGGAAGCAAGTTTAAAAGTCATGGGTGACAATTTTCACTTCCAATACGTGGGATGCTGAAGATCTGAGGTCCAGCCGTGCTCCTCCTCTGGCTTGCTCTGTGGTCCTGGCAAATCAGATTAACTTTCAGGCCTGGGTCAAGCGGAGGGGATGATGCGAAATGCTGTCAATCGGTTCATAGAGGAAACTTTGAAAATGCTGAGTCCTTAGAAAGCAGCAATGGTTTTACATGGTTATAAAGCACACTCCTTAGTGAGTTTCTACACACACGCAATGTATGTATTTTGGAAACATCCAATTATATTTCTGTGTATGGCATATTCTAAATTCTATGTCAGCATAAATAATATGATGTATATCTACAGTGTTTATGTATGTGCATAATTTTGTGTACATAAACATTGTATTTATGTAACACGCACATTTGAAGTGTCTATTAAATGTATATATTAATATATTTGCAAAGTTTTATCTCTTGTTCATGTCACAAATATAAACTCTACTGGGTGTTCATAATTAATATATAATGGCTATCAGCAAAGCCTATGTGTATAAACTGCATAATTTATAATGATGCAGACATGAGGTATCTTTAATATAGGACTAGTAACGTATAAAGGTAAAGCAAACAAGGTGCTTAGGGTGCAAAATCTGAGGAGTCCACCGCTCAGGTTCCTGCAAAGGCCGCTTGTCTCACCCTAGTACTGGTCCTGATAAAAATGCCAGTTTCTCTTATTATCTTCATCGCAACCAGAAACTATTACTCATTACTAAGTGCCAGGCACTGTTTTATGCACTTTAAATATATTAACCAAGCTAAAGAAATGTCATGACTACAAATAACATGAATTCTAAGTGAATTACAGGAAGTTGTGACTAACAAGTAAAATGTTTTGAAAGCCGTAACTCAAAAGTCCCAGCTAGACATGGCCTCTAATGAAGACTTCTGCAGTGAAGTGATGAGTCCATATCTCCCAGGAAGTCATGGCACCTAAGCTAAATCCAGCAGTCTTTCCTGTACATTAATTGTTTTTCTTTAATACACACTGTATCAAGGGTTCTACTGATCTCTCTCCACATTGGAGCAGCGTGGCAGGATATACGCTCCAAAACTTTCTGCCTAGATGATGGACAGACTTCAAAAAGAAGAATGATATGTATTTTCATTTTCTATATTACCGTTACTACTTTCAAAACTGAGGTAGATAATGGAGCTTATGATAGTCTAACTGTACTTCAACAAGATAATATGTTTATATTTAAACTCATTCAGAGACCAAGGAAGGGGGATTTACAGAACATATTATCTAGTATCTAGCTACAGGTGATTTACTGTTGTTCACTGAAATGCAGTTGAAGCACAAGATGGATAATAATATTATATTGTGGTATATATCCTGTTCACATCAGACCTTCGTAATAAAAGCCGAACACCAATCTACAGAACCTGTCTTAAATCTGCCATCTAAGATACTGATTGTAAAATAAAATGATCAAAGTGCAGTTTATCTCTATACTGCCTTCCCCTGAGATAGTGGTATGCAAAGAACTTCCTATTTTTTAATTTATTTACATTCAGTCAACAGAAACATAAATTAAATTAAAAACCTCAGTGTTATGCAGACTGAATAAAGCATACCTAATATGTTGCTAAGTAGACTTTTTTAAGGTATTGCAGACTACAGCTTGTATTGTATTTTTATCCAGTGCACCTTTCACTACCTACCAACAACAAAATATGCTGATAAAAATAATAGATTAAAATGAATTTTGCAAACCAGCAATTTCACATGCTACACTCCTGCTGAGAATAAACAGTTTTTACTGGCTCTTTTTATTTGACACATGAAATCCAGTATTCCTGCCAACTGATTTCATTTTAAATAATTTCCTAAGGACCCAATGGAAAAAGACCATAAAGGAGTTAACATTGAATAGAGAGATCACAAATGAATTTTAAGCAAACCTTTTTGTCTTTACAGGCAAGTAATTGTAGAAAAATTAAAGGCCAAACTTCCCTATAAAAAGAGATGCCCTTGTGTCATAGAATGTAGATGGCAGAAAAGTATGAGGTCTGGGGTGAATCATCCTCTCTTCTAAACACATATACGTACTTAGACTCAAGTTAAAGTGAAGGTCAAGAGAATCCTTGGAGGGGAAAAGAAGTTCCAGTACTTCTCACATTTCTGCTACACCCGGGATTTAGCTGCTGTCTTCTCGGTGCTGCTGTGGCCCCTCACACAAACCCCTATTGTGACAGTCATCTTAATGAATTATAATAATTTGTTTGTTGTATGTTTTTGATTGTGTGTGTGTCTACTTGTTATCTTTCCAATGAGACCATAAACTCCCTGAGAAGAGAAATTGTCCCCAGCTCCTAGCCCAATATTTGGCACTGAGTAGGTGTTCTGTAAATGCCTGGTGAATTTAAATGGATATTGAAAATAATAACGTATGATTTAAAAGAATGAGAGAGGAACTTGGAAGGGGGAAGAAACAATACAGTCACATTTGATTGATGTTGTAGAAATAAGAGCTGGTTTTAGGTGCAGTTAACACATGGAGATTTTTAAGGTCAACTATTGCACCACCTCCTTTTCCCATTTGGGCCAGTTAATTCCTCCACTCATTCATTCATTCATTCATTCATTCATTCAGCATATATCTGTTGAGTGCCAACTCTGTGCTAGGCAAATGTTACCTACTGTAGTAGCTGATACCATGAAACACAGGATCACTGTCATTTGTTAAGGTCTCACTGCAGATATGTCAACAGAGTTAGAGCTGAGCTTCAAGTTTATGCTCAAGCTAAGCCGTGGAGCACTTTTATTTTACCATTTAAATGTATCTTGCCATTAACTAAGTAGTTTCAGTCTCTTTAGGCCTCAAAGATTTACTCTAGGATATATTTGACAATATAACCAGATCTTCTTATGATTCTGGCTTAATTCTTCAACTTTGCCAGTGATATGCTCAGTGCCACTTATAATTATGCTGAAGTGGTCCTCATTTTCCCCAAGAGTTTCAGATTAGACTGGAGACCCACGGCCAGGATACTTATCTTTTTCTGTACTTCATTCTATGGTGAATGTCTTGTTTTCCTTCAACAAATAATATGTACTTCTAATATGATCAAGGGAAACTGGGAATAAAAATTGGGTTGTCTTGCAGTCTCAGTCTTAAAATATGTTGAAAGTGGTATCATATGACCACTTATATAGATTATAAAAAACATTTCTTTGTCTTTTCAATCAATGACAAAGAAAATTCCCAAAAGTGTTTTAAAACAAAACTAACCTTTTCACTAAAGTGAAGATAAGTAGGCAGATGTCTTTTAAAGCTGTACAAAGCCTCAGATTTCTTTCTTTCTTTTTTTCTTTCCCATTTACACATAATTTCTGGATGCAGGGTGGTGAGGCCATTCAGTAAGATGGAGTATAGAAGTTTTGCTTAAAATAGGAATAAAAAGGAGCTTTTTGCCCCTTGTAATTTCTCCTTATTAAGCTGACAAAAGCATCTATTTTAGAATTCTGTTAAAAGCAAGCTTGTTTGCTGATAGGTCAAAGAAGAGAAACAGTGAAATTATAAGTAAGAGACCCATTTGTTCTAGCCATGTTGCTGTCAGGACGGTATTATCCCTTTCAATGGGCTTTCTGATTATAATGATAGAACTGACAGTGGATTCAGCATGTATCTTAAAAATATGATTTATAATTGAGCAGTTCATCAAAACAGGTACTGGTCTTATCACAAGTTCAATAAACACTGTTGAAAATTCAGTCTTATGTTTCTACTTTCATTAATTAATTCTATCTTATTTTATCCTTGCAGTCCCTTTCTTCTCCTTACATTTCTACACCTAAATATGAAGTATAGGCATTGTCATCATTTCTAGACTGTACCAAATTGTCTTTGCATAGTTTACCATTGCTTAACCACAGGATACACTCCATAAATCTTTTTTCATAAATCAATCCTTCCCTTCCATTAATCATTTTCATTATTTATCTCTGACTTCCCTCCAAGATTGTCAACACTGCTTGTTTATTTAGGTGCTTGAAATTGAATACAGTGGTCTGGGAGTAATTCTAGCTACAGTTGTATGAGAGGCCATAGCCTCCCTTCCCCCTCCGGGCTTCCACACTGACTCACACAGTCCTGTTGTCTTTTTGTGGTTAATATTCACTGTAAATTTGTCCACATTTCTCCTGGTGCTCCCTCCTTCTTTGATTACTACTAACAATCCCAGTTTTCCAGATTCTCTTCTTCAATGAATGCTTCTGACATGATTTTTTTTGGCCACATATTTGTTTGCATCTTTCTGAAAACAATTTCATTTTTTTCATCCCTTATTTCTGACTTGTTTTGGTTCTTCCGAACCATACTGCTGTCCATATCCTGGCCATTTCTCAAAGCTTGTAACACCTCCCAATTTAGTCTTTTCAACAACTGCCATGAGCATTCTGTTCATTCTCTTTTCTGGATTATTAATGCATACATAAAATACAAACTATGGTGACTTGCTAAGAGACAGACCCTCGGAACTGCACAGAATGCCACTGTTGTTACCTTTTACAGATGGCAGCTTCAGCCTCCTTCAGTCTGCGTGGCTGTGTTGTTATCAAGGCTATGTGGAATGAAGGTGTCGGGGGAAATTGCATAGCATGTCAAATTAAATGTTTTGTTCAAGTCTGAATATGATGCAGACGTCATACTATGTTCCAGTCACTAGCTCATCTCTTCTCCGTGGATAAACAAAGCTCTATAAAATCTGATCTTGCTTCATGGGGGTTTGGGGTGGGTAGTCTGGTTTTATTTTATAGTTTGGCTCAGTTTGAAGTTTGTTTTGGTTAAGTTCTTGAGCACCCCTCCCTCAGAGAATTTTTTTACTTCAGGTGATGCATTTTGGTGTGTCAAATGCACATCCAGGGGAGCTGAAGAGAATATCATAAATAGTTCAAAAATATGTAGCAGTAGGTGCATATTCTGAATGCTCTGCTGGTGCCCATGGTCCTGAGGTTGGGGTTTCCTTCAATTGAAAGATCAGAAAGTTCCCTGCACAGCCCTGGGGGTGAGAGTTTAACCCTGTGGCTTTTCTTAATGCTTATTTCCAACCAATTCCACTTCCAAGGTTTGCTTTAAGGTTTTTGTTGTTGCCGTTGCTGTTGTTGTTGCTGTTGTTGTTTTTAACTCAGGCTTCATCTTCACACTGTCATAAAAACTGAGCAACTATGTGGAGGGAGAAAGCTTTGTAACTGACTGTCAGCAGCCATGCATCCATCTCCAGGGGCATGACGTACATTGTATTTCTGTGATTGGTGCCCCTCAATCCCAGCACATTGGGAATGGCGCCACAGGGGTTAGGCAGTCTGGAGGTGCTCTGGTTCTTTGGCTGTTTATAACCCTAATTATGAGAATCAGATGAGATAATTGATGTAAATGTATAATATGAATTCAATATTTTAAAAATAAAGAGAAAAAGATAGGTATTTGTCCTAATTTTCCTTTTCTTTTTAGCAATTTATGTTACATGGGCAAGAATGTTGTTTTTCCCAGCTCCTACTAATCTTTAATCCTTCCTTGAACAAAAGAATGAAATAACTATTCTTCAATATATGCTCTAGTAATTGATTTGCATATTCCTTGACAGAATCCCTAATATTTAAATATTCTGTAACTCCTTATTTAAAGCCCTTCGTGTTTGTGCTTTTCACTTTTCTGTTTGCCGTTGGCTTCTTCCCTCCATTTCTTGCCATTCTTGCACATCCTTTTAGTTATTTCTAGGCCATGTTCCAAGCCATAAGACAATCACACCTATTAGGAACACAGACAAGAACCATGAACTAATAAAGCTCAGAGGTCTAAGCAGCTGAAGGAGATATTACAAAGTCCATCTATTAAAATGCATGTATGCTATTTAAAGTGAGGCCCAACTCAGAGCCCATGAACACTTTGCCTACTCTTCTCATAAAAATGTTGTTAGCTGACATATTAGGCCAATGAATTGGAAGTGGAACAGAGAGTTTCTTCCTCCAAGTCAGCATTCTGAGTGTTGTCAACAATGTAATCTATAAAGGAAGCCAGAAAAACAAAACTACTAAAACCTGCAGGATGAAGTCATTAAATTGAGAACAAATAGCCTCAAATGTATGTACCTCAAATGACTCTAATGATACTACCATGACATGCCACTGTTTAGTTAGTAACTGCAGTTCATAATAATGGTATGTTCATTGTAGTCATGTCATTTCCTGGTGAAGTAGTGAAGTACAGAGTATATTTTAGATGGATTTCTATCTAAAATTATTTTTTTATTTTTGTAGCTAAAAATAGCTGTTAATTTTTAAAGACTATTTAGAACAACTCAATCTGCAAAAGACAGCCTAGTTTTTCTATAAATGACAATATATTTCTCATGTCCTGTTTAACATATGCATATCCATTCCCATCCTTCTGAGAATATAAATTCTTTTTTTCTCTCTCTCTTTTTTTTGAGACGGTGTCTCGCTTTGTCACCCAGGTGGAGTGCAGTGGTGTGATCTTGGCTCACTGCAACCTCCGCTGCCCGGATTCAAGTAATTCTCCTGCCTCGGCCTCCCAAATAGCTGGCACTACACGCACCTGCCACCACGGCCGGCTAATTTTTGTATTGTTGTAGAGGCAGGGTTTTGCCATGTTGGCCAGGCTGGTCTCAAACTCCTGACCTCAAGTGATCCACCCGCCTCGGCCTCCCATAGTGCTGGGATTATAGGCATGAGCCACCATGCCCAGCCTAGAGAATATAAATTCTTTAGTAGCAAGAACTGGTTCTTCAACTTGATTTGGATATACAATGGCTATCTGAGCACACAAAATAAGAGTTTAAAATCCTAAACTTTCAGAATGAAAGGAATCTCGGAGATCACAGTAATCCAATCCATTTACTTTACAGAAATGTTAACTATATGTACCAACATTTTCTCTAAGCTAATAAGGCATTTTCCTCCCAAACTGTACAAAAATGCATGTAGCAAAATGGAAATCTCTTACCCAAACAGAATCCCTAACGCCCCAGTCTTCCCCTCGTAAAATAGGCAGTTACCAGTTTCTTTTGTGAAAATACTCTACGTAAATACAAGTACACACTTGAGCTTTATAAAATACAAATAATGGCATGAGAGACTTCTTTGCAACTTGATTTTTTAGGCTAAAATCATATATTTAAAAATAATAAATATGTATTCACTGAAAATTATAGACACTAGAATTAAGCTCCCTCATAACATTACCTAAAGTTTAGTACAAATGAGTCACTAATACACAAAATATACACTTACAGATTTACTTCAGGCTATACAAATGCCTCCTTTCCCTTTTGAGGATGTGATAAACCCCAGAAGGAAGTGAAAGGTATGCAAAAAGCAAATGTTTTCCCTACACGAATACCCCTAAATACATGGTCGTTCAACACTTCAAGATGAGGCATGGAGAGCAGCGACTGTATTCTCTCTTTTTTTTTTTTTTGAGACGGAGTCTCGCTCTATCGCCCAGGCTGGAGTGCAGTGGTGCGATCTTGGCTCACTGCAAGCTCCGCCTCCCGGGTTCACGCCATTCTCCTGCCTCAGCCTCCCGAGTAGCTGGGTCTACAGGGGCCCGCCACCACCCCGGGTAATTTTTTTTGTATTTTTTAGTGGAGACGGGGTTTCACCTTGTTAGCCAGGAAGGTCTCGATCTCCTGGCCTCGTGATCTGCCCGCCTCGCCCTCCCAACGTGCTGGGATTACAGGCGTGAGCCACCGCGCCCGGCCTGTATTCTTAATATTCTAATTATTCAACATTATTATAGTGTTAGAACTAAAAAAGAGACCCCAAGATCCATTTAATATGGTGTTTTCAAACTGCAGGTCAGATGTGAGAAGTGGGTCCTAACATCAATCTAGTGGATTACAATCAGTATTTTTTTAGAAACCATTTTTGAAACAGTATTTTTTAAATGAAATAAAAATGAAAAGAAAATATCAGTATGCATCCCATTTAACAAGGGTAAAAACTGTTTCATAATAATTTTCATTTGTTGTGTGTGTCTATACTGGGTTGTGATATAAAATGTCCATCTAGCTGTGGATCACGGGCATGAACTTGAAAGTCACTGATTTAATTCAGCCTTTGGCTTCTAATGAGGTAAAACTATAAGTGTTCTCAGAGAAAGAGGTGTCTGTGCATTCCTGAGAACAAGCCTCTCACAAAGAACCATCTTCATTCTGGCTCATTATTTGAAGTACAATGTCACTTTCTCTTTTCATCAAGATTATTGGGGTACAGGCTTAATTCCAAACTTACTCTTTGCAACATAACTTTACCCAGTCAACTAATTGATCAAAACCCAGTAGAAATCCATCTTAATCATTAGCCATCATTATTATTATTTCAATTATAGGAGCACAGGGATAACAGGAAAACTTAGCTTCATCTACAAATGGCTTTCACATTCTTTGAGCTAGCCCCTTTCCTCCTCAGAATCAGTGAGGCAGAAGCCTGCTGACCCAGCGACAAACCCTGAGGCACATCCAGAGAACTGACAGTCTCGATCTGGTCAAACCAAAAGAAGTAGTACAATTGTACTGAAAGGCTTAATGAAGGCTATATCTCTCTTTGCCACCATCTTTCCTCTGTCTGATGGAGTTGAGTGCAGAAATCATAATGGGAAGAAAGAAGTTACGTCTGAAATTTTGTGTTTTACTAGAGGCAATAATGGGGTAGAATGTGGGTGTGGGGGTCAAGAAATGTGTGTCTGGCTTGAATCTGAGTTTGGTGACAAGGCTTTCAAGTCTTCCAATTGCCCCAGCTCTTCATGTCTTCATTTCTAAAACGAGGGACTGTGCCACAGCAGTTTAGCCATGAATTATCATCATAGCTGCACTTGTATGACCCTTGCTATGTCACAGGCTCAAGCATTTTACATAATTGGCTGATTTAATCATCCCCATAACACTAACAGGTGGGAAATTTTCCCTTATGTTACAGGTGGATTTGCACAGATGAGTAGCAGAGAGGTCAAGTAACTTGCCCAAAATGACCCAGTTAGCAAGTGGCTCCAGATGCTGTGCTCTCAATGTCATGCAATGTTGCCTCAGCAGAGATCTTTTTAAAAATCACTTGTCCTATCCCCAACTACTCTCCAAAGCCTATGTTACTGAAGATATTTTCTACTAAATAAGCCATATTTGCTAAATTTCATTTTCCATTTTATTAATCAGAGATGTATCATATGGTCAGAGTTTCTGATCAGCATAAAATAAGTTACCACACACATTTACATAATTCCTGCCCAATGTGAAATTCAGTGTTTAGGTTAACCTAGTAGTTGTATCATGTATGATTTCTCTTAGCCCAGGAATCTCAATTAAGACTTGGGGGCTGGGCGCAGTGGCTCATGCCTGTAATCCCAGCATTTTGGGAGGTGGATCACCTGAGGTCAGGAGTTCGAGACCAGCCTGGCCAACATGCTGAAACCCTGACTCTACTAAAAATACAAAAAAAAAAAAAAAAAAAAAATCAGCCGGGCGTGCTGGTGGGTGCCTGTAATCCCAGCTACTCAGGAGGCTGAGCCAGGAGAATCTCTTGAACCTGGGAGGTGGAGGTTGCAGTGAGCCAAGATCATGCCATTGCACTCCAGCCTGGGCAACAGAGCAAGACTCTGTCTCAAAAAAAAAAAAAAAAGACTTGGGGACTTCTTATGTCTGAAACATCAGATTTCCCTTTTAGTTCTTCTAACAGCTGGTCTCAAGGGCAGGAAGGATACCATTGCCATAGAGGGAGCCTGGAAATCAGGTGGAGACATTTTTGGTTGTCACAGTGACTGGAGGAAGGAGATGCTGCAGGGGGTGTTGGATACTAGCATTTAATGGGCCAAGGCCAGGGACAGTCCAACCCAAGGAAGAATGTCTCAAAGTGCCAAGAGCACTCCTGCTAAGAAACCCCCAAGGGCTGCTTGCTGGAGGATGGCAGAGGGAAGGAGAGACATGGAAGCTCCATTCCTACCATTACTCCCCAACTTTGCCATGTTTCACTAGAAGAACTTCCCTCTCCTGGTCTCTTGTGAAGTCCAGGCAAGCCCCTCTTATACCTTTCCATTAATGTTTCCAGTATTTCTACATTGTAATGCTCCTGCACATACAGCAAGACACCATCTGGGCAAAGCCACTGTCTTTGTGCAATGACAGAGCCTGTTCTTCACAGTCAGAGCCTGAAGGACACATCTGTGCCAGGGCAAACCCCCTACCAGCCCGCTACATTTCAAGGAATTGCCTTTGCTCTTTCCTTTGTTCTGGGAGAGGTCAGGGAGACATCCTCACAGGATAACCAGAGAGTGGCAGAGCAAAACCTCATGACACATGTCGAATGAGGTTTTTGATCCATATTCATTGGCTCTTTTAAAAATATGTATCAAAAAATCATTATGAAATACCACTTCACATCCTCAAGGATTGCTAAAATTGAAAAGACAGGTAATACCAAGTGTTGGTGAAAATGTGGAGAAATCAGAACCCCCACACACTGCTGGTGGAAATGTAAAATGGTACACTGTGGAAAACACCTAGGAGTTCCTAAAAAAGTTGAACAGGGAGTTACCATATGATCCAGCAGTGCCACTCCTGGCTACATACCCAATAGAATTAAAAACTTGCCTACACAAAAACCTTTAGATAAATGTTCATAACCACATCATTCATAACAGCCCAAAACTGGAAAAAAATATACATCAAACTGATGAATGGATAAGCAAAATGTGGTATATTCTTAAGGCAGAAAGGATTGAAGTGCTGACATATGCTGCAACATGGATGAAACTTAAAAACACACTAAAAGAAAGAAAAGTCACAAATGGCTACCTATTATAGGATTTCATTTATTTAGAATGTCAAGCATAGGCAAATCTATAGACAGAAAGTAGATTTGTGGTTGCCAGGGGATGGTGGTAGAAGGAAATGGGGAGTGTCTGCTAATAAATAAGCTTCTTTCTCAAGTGATGAAAATATTGTGAAATTAGATAGTGGTGACAGTTGCACAATTATGTGACTAACTAAAAACCACTTGAACACTTAAAGGTCTAAATTTTATGATATATCTCAATAAAGCTATTATTAAAGAATAAATATGAATGGAGTTTCTACCTTGTGGCAGACACTTTTCCAGCCATTGAGGGGATTCCACAATGTACAAAGAAGACAGTGTACTTGATCTCATGGAATTTGCAATTCTGGTAAATAAATAAGCAAATGAAAGTGAACTGCATGCTCCTGCATATAGAACCACTGGAGCGAGCCCAGGGCACAGACAGTGTTCAGTCCACATTCACATGGACTCCTGCCAGACATTCTTGCCCAGTGTGGCTCCGGGACACTCACATGGGCCCCCTCACAGGTCTCCTCTCAGAGCCACCACACAGCAGCTCCCTGGCCAAGGCCCCAGTTCAGAAACTCACCCGCAGCTCCAGGAATCCAAGCTCTTCATGGATCCAGCTTGCACTCTTCTTTCAGCCTCCCTGGTTTCTTCTACTCACTCACTTTTACCCTTATTTGTTCATTTAGCAAATTATTTAACACGTATTTACTGAGGGCTATAGTAGCTAGAATGCTTTGGGCCAAAATATATAGATATGTGAGACTATTTTAGGCTCAAAACTGTTTAAACAATAAGGACAATTATTGTTTCCTGAACAAGATGCCCACACTGCAAGCATGGGGCTCTGTTTCTCTAGTCCATTTGGTTCTACCCTCACCAGTGTGTTATCATTGTCCTCAGGCAGCCATTGAGGGCAGCAACAATGGGGGCACAGCTTTCTTGGTTACATCTAGCAAGAAAGAGAGAGGAAAAAACTATCCTTTAACCATGGAATAGAAATCCGTGTTTTCAACCTATCTGGGCCAATCTAGATCAAGTATCTTCAGGTGGCGGTGAAATGCCGTGAGTTGATTGATCTCAGCCACACTCCTGGGCCAGTCACTCCAGAGGAGTTGGGGATTCCCAGGATTGATTGAGGATGAAATCCTAGAGCTGGAGGAGGAGCTAGCACTCCCTGAAGCCTGTGGGATACATAGGAAGGAGGAAGAAGGAAGGGATTCCGTCTGATTTTCTGTTCATTATAGATTATTTACCGGTCTGCTCCTTAAGCTCATACCAGGTACTAAGTGCTTTTCTGTGTGCTAGGGATAGTTTATCTTATTTATTTATGTATTTATTTCAGAGACAGGGTCTCACTCTGTCACCCATGCTGGAGTGCAGTGGTGTGATCATAGCTTACTGTATCCTGGAATTCTGGGCTCAAGTGATCCTCCCAACTCAGCATCCTGAGTAGCTGGGACTACAGGTGTGTGCACCACACCTGGCTAAGTTTTGTAAATTATTATTATTTTTTTTGTAGAGACAGGAGTCTCACTGTGTTTCCTAGGCTGGTCTCAAACTCCTTGCCTCAAACAATCCTCCCACCTTGGCCTCCCAAAGTGCTGGGATTACAGATATGAGTCCACCTGGTCTAAGGATAGTTTACCTTTTATTTGATGAAGGACTATGTTTGCAGTTTAAACTGCCACAAAATCTTCCCCAAGGAACAATGTGTTCTCTCTCCTACTGGTAGCATTTCAAGGTCAATGACACCTGATATGGGGTGACATTTAACAACAAATACTTGACACCCCCAATGTCACATTCTATAAGCAGCCACTCCTGCTATGTTTATGACCAACCCTGCCCATATCCCACAAGATTCTCACGAGCAGAGGTGTGCCCTCTAGGAGAAAGTCTTCACTTGGCTCCACCCATGGAATATGCTATAAAACTGATGCCAAATTTTCTGCTAGAAAGCTCTATACTTCACAACCAGAAAGGCTGGGTCAAGCGTTGGTCAAACTATTAGCCTATGTTTCAAAAGTTATTTGGACATCTTGGAAACATCTCAGAAATATTTTGGAAATCTGAAATTGTTTGGAAATATTTGGATTCTTTGGAAATTGTTAATCTTTTTTGTTTCTTAATTCCTACAATAAGGAGAATTTAAGGGGTCTGTAAAATATAGAGCTACCCCACTGCCACATACATACATGTCATGATTTCCCCACTTAACCAAAAATGTGATTTCAGGTGGGATCAAAGTGAATATGAGCATTAATTCTAAACTCCATGTGTGGTTAATCATAATTATAATCTTGTCTATACAATCTTATAAGTGCAAGGCAAACAGACTTGCCAATATAACTGGTTGAAGAGAGTTGCAATTAATTGATTAAATTGATAGGCAGCAAATGCAGAGATGCTGGTCTCTCAGGAAAGAAGTTTTCAAAATAATACTGAGACTTAAATCCAACTGACATTATTATTAACGATACTAATTATGAATAATACATTATATTTCTACCATGCTTTATTATTTATAAAGTTCTTTTACATGCATTATCTCATCTGCTATCACAACAACCTTATTAGATGGAGAGGAAGTGTTTCCATTGCATAGATGAAGAAACCAATAAGGCAAGGTTTAAGGTTACCTCTCATGCCACAAAGACAGCAAGTTCAGAAGATGAAGCTTACCCCCAAGTCTGATTGTTCCTGAACTGCAGCCAGCTCTCTCACTTCCATTCTCTTGTGGGGAGCATTCATATTTTATTATTATTATTATTATTATTATTATTATTATTATTATTATTATTTTAGATGGAGTCTTGCTTTGTCACCCAGGCTGGAGTGCAGTGGTGCATTCTCAGCTCACTACAACCTCCACCTCTCAGGTTCAAGCCATTCTCCTGCCTCAGCCTCCCAAGTAACTGGCATTACAGGCACGTGCCACCACGCCCAGCTAATTTTTGTATTTTTAGTAGAGACCGGGTTTCTCCATGTTGGCCAGTCTGGTCTCAAACTTTTGACCTCAAGTGATCCACCCACCTTGGCCTCCCAAAGGGCTGGGATTACAGCCGTGAGCCACTGCGACCAGCTGCATTTATATTTTAATGCACACAGCACAAAGTAGAAATTCAAAAGTGATTGTCAATGGCTGAATTAGAAGGATGGATTGCAGGCAGAAACAAATTGAGTGATCTGCAACAAGTTAACAGCGAGAATCAGAATCATCATTAAGGAAATTTCCGGCTGCATTTTTAGAAACAGGGAGAGTTAACTAATGTAAACTGTCTTTAAGTATTTATGGAAAATTGAATGATGGCAAATTTAAGTAATTTTTCTCAGTGATTTAAAACATCTTTTTCGGCTATGCGCGGTGGCTCACGCCTGTAATCCCAGCATTTTGGGAGACTTAGGTGGGAGGATTCATTGAGCCCAGGAGTTTGAGATAAGCCTGAGCAACATGATGAGACCCTCATCTCTACAAAATATTTTAAAAATTAGCCGGGCGTGGTGGCATGTACCTGTAGTCCCAGTGTTCGTGGGGTAGTTGGGGTAGTGAGGGGTGGGAAGGGGACTGAAGTGGGAAGATTGTTTGAGCCCGGGAGGTCAAGGCTGCCAGTGAGCCATCTTGGCACCACTGCATTCCGGCCAGCGTAAGCAACAGAGCAAGATCCTGTCTCAAAATGAAAAAAAAAAACTTATCTTTTTCTTTTTTTTTTTTTTTGAGACGGAGTCTCGCTCTGTCGCCCAGGCTGGAGTGCAGTGGCGCAATCTCGGCTCACTGCAAGCTCCGCCTCCCGGGTTCATGCCATTCTCCTGCCTCAGCCTCCCAAGTAGCTGGGACTACAGGCGCCCGCCACTACGCCCGGCTAATTTTTTGTATTTTTAGTAGAGACGGGGTTTCACCGTTTTAGCCGGGATGGTCTCGATCTCCTGACCTCGTGATCCGCCCGCCTCGGCCTCCCAAAGTGCTGGGATTACAGGCGTGAGCCACCGCGCCCGGCCAACTTATCTTTTTCAAAATGTGCATTATAAACTTTGATTGTTGCTGTCATCTAAAAAGATCTTTAATATGTCCATGACGTTTATTAATAGGTTCCATTCGTTTTGTTTACCCAGGCACTCTGTATATAGATTACCTGGTTTTACCCTCTCAATCAACCTATAAGTGGGAATTATTAATTGCATTTCATAGATAAGGAAGCTAGCTGTAGCTTGGAAGGGTTAACTGTCATTTCTCAGCTCCCACAGGAGAAAGTCATAGAACTGGGATTAGAAGAGAGCATTATCTTAATGTCTTTCTGCTGGGCCAGGTTTTGGGGCGATGGGAGCGGGGGAACATGTTCCTTAAAAACTTCTTCTAAAGGGCAGATGCAAAAATTATGGTTCTTAGTAGCAATAGCATTGACCACAATTCTTAGAAATATCTGAAATGTATTTAGAAAACCTCAAACCTTACTTGAAATTAATAAATACAAGGGGAAAGAATAAGACACACCTGGACAATTTCATCTTTTCCCTGTTCATTTAAAGCAATTGAATATGTGTGAGTTTAGTCCAAACTCTTGTAATTAATACTGAAAGTATTTAAGGTACCAGAATTTTAATTACATGTTCCCAGATTACCAATAAGTGTTGCAAATATTTTGTTATAAAAATGCATACACCTTCCCTAGTAAATGTGCTTGTTTTACCTGATGTGTAAAATTTAGAGGATCACCTAGGAGATTTTTAATGTTATGTTTATTGCATTGATAACCCTTTAAAATCTATTGTTTGTGTTATTGGTATCCTCCTTAAAAAGATATAATCAATGGAGTAATTTGGGTGTAGAAAGAATTAACATTGCTCAATAGAATTGTTCAAGACCAGTCCAGAGTCATCATCTCAAATATTGCTCAAGACTGAGCATAAAAGTATTGCAGGTGTTCTACAGCCACAAGAAAATATATAGAAGTGCATAGCCCTGTCCTCCAAAAGTTTAAATTTAATGAAAATAGAAAAGGAAAGCAGACCCAGCCATATGTTTAGTAGATCATTAGCCAGGCTCCAGAGAACGGGGTGGCATCAGGAAGACGAATGGGTTACTGTGAAAACTTTGAAACCCAGATTCCTTGAGAGGTAAATGCTGCCTGCCCCCTGTAGCCTGGTTGGTGAGCTCTTCAGCAGATGGCTGATTTACCTTTCTTATTTCACTCTTGCATTTAACCTAAAACAGGGAGAATTCTCAATTTCCAAACCAGATGTGCGTGACTGTTTAACTCCAGGAAAAAACACAAAGAAATAGCTGGTGCCTTCTCGTTAGGAGGCACTGTTACAGAGATGAGGACCGGGGTTTCTTTTTGTAGCTAATGTGACTTGTATTCTATTTAAAAGCATTGAAGATTCCTAACTTTGCTAAGGGAGAAAAGACCTTCCTTAGCAAAGACTTCCCTTTCCTCCCATGGAAAATTCTGCCAAAACATCCTCCCCGCTCCCTCTCAATTCACCTATAACATTTGTTACTAGAAAGAGCTGTGAGTTGGGGCCAACTCAAGAGTGTGGTGCTTTTTTCTTATGAATATGATCTGCCTCGGGAAATTTGCATACGCTTGCCTTCAAAGGAAGAGGAGGAATAATACATTTAATTAGCTCAGTGCACTTCTTGAAATGTATCTGAAAGCAGATGACAGATCTCCATAATCAAACTACCACCTACACTTGAATTTTACACTATTTTCTCAAAAGTGGTATGTACTGGTTTATAACTGTAGTTACTTATAAATACATGAAGTTATTTTTATATTGTTTTCTATGCTGGAGGTAGCTTTTGCCGATACATAAATTAGAAAGGGAGGTCACCTTTGGAAGGGAAAATTCTAATTCATTGCTGGAGAATTCTACACTAATTGCACAGAATAAATTTGTTTGTGTACTATCAACACCAAGAAGGGCTTCCGCTGGCCCAGCACATACAGCATTTTTACTTTTTTCCTTCAATTAACAGACTTTAATGTGTCATCCTTAGAAATAATGACAATTCTTCTGACCGCAAACTTTTAAAAATATTGTAAGGATGGTTTGAGTCTAGCATCCCACCATGTAAAATGTAACACTATACACAGTACTTCAAATACAGGATATCATACTAAAAATGTTACCTTCACTCATTTTACTTGCTATTTAAATTGACTGGTTTCCCCTCACAGTACTTTGTTAAGATTATTATTCTTTCAGACATAATAGCTACTATGTGCCAGATACCAGAGATACAAAAATACATAAGGCATAATTCCTACTCCTAAGACAGCAAAATTTAGTCCGGGATACAGATGTATAAATAATTACAGAGAGCTCTGAGATCCCAGAGGGAAAAGTGAGATATTCTTCTAGGGAAATGTTGAGAAGCCTTCATGGGGACTACCATCCTAGTGCAGTCCTGAAGATAAAGCAAAAATTCACAGGAAAAAGATAGGAAAAAAGCTATGACTGGGATTTTCTGGAATTGCTGTCTCTGTGAGGTTGGAACATAGGGCGAAGATGGGTGTTTATTAACATCACTTTGGATGTTGTTTTTAAAACAGAACTGCCATCCATTGGCCAGGTGTGGTGGCTCATTCCCGTAATCCCAGCACTTTGGGAGGCCAAGGTGGGAGGATCACTTGAGCCTAGGAGTTTGAGACCAGCTTAGGTAACATATGCTGTCTCTAATAAATAAAATAAATAAATAAATAACAAAAATAGAAAATTTGGCTGGGCAGGATGGCATGTGCCTGTGGTCCCAGCTGCTTGGGAGCCTGGGGCAGGAGGATTGCCTGAGCCCAGGAAGTCGAGCCTGCAGTGAGCTGTGATCATACCACTGTACTCCAGCCCAGGTGACAGAGTGAGTCCCTGTCTGAAAAACAAACAAACAAAAAGAACTGCCATCCATAGTCTACTAAATGTTACTTATGGGTTGACTATGCCTTCATTTTTAAAATAGACTTTAATAACTCATATTATTAAAATAAGAACTGTAACATCGTTAATAGGCAAAAGGCAGTGAAGAATAATTCCAAAAAATAAGCACTCAATTTAATAAATGTTAATGGGCAGTTAGTATTTTGATTTGTTTATAATAAACTTTATATACATGTGTATATTTATAATATTTAAGTATATTATGTTTATTTTAAATATATTTAATTCATAATTTATAATTTATATACTCATAATTTATATACACATAATTGTTTTATGCATAATATACCAAAATATAATGTAAAATAATATATAATCTGTAATAATAAAATATAATAAGTATATGATAAATAATATGTTATAAATACATAAAATCTGGGTCTTCTTTATTTGGCATCTACTGTATTCCAGGGTATGTTCTAGTCATCAGGAAAACAGAGGTAAACAGGGCAGATAAAATCCCTGCCTTCAAGGGACTTACATTACAGAGGGTTGTGGGCAACAAATAAATGTAATATAAAATAGGCTGGGCATGGTGGCTCACGCCTGTAATCCCAGCACTTTGGGAGGCTGAGGCAGGTGGATCACCTGAGGTCAGGAGTTCGAGATCAGCCTGGCCAACATGGTGAAACCCTGTCTCTACTAAAAATATAAAAATTAGCCAGGCAGGGTGGCAGGTGCCTGTAATCCCAGCTACTCAGGAGGCTGAAGCAGGAGAATGGCTCGATCCTGAGAGGCGGAAGTTGCAGTGAGCCGAGATCAAGCCATTGCACTCCAGCTCCATCTCCAAAAAAAAAGTAATATAAAATAAAATAATGTAAAGCTTAAGAGACTTGGGGAGATACTGAAGCATTAATTACAATAAAAAGTGTGTGTGTGTGTATGTGTGTGTGTTTCCTGGTGCTAGCTTTCCCTCTAGAATCACCCTAATCATTATAAGCTTTAAAAATACTGTGTGTGATAGATTTATCATCTCTCTAGTTTTCCTAAAGAATGCACTTTCCTGTGTTTATTATGTAAAATGTACATTTGAATAGCAGTATTAATGGTTTCCTTAAAGAGAGACAGACAATAAACTGCCATGGTGGTGAAGAGTAAAGATTCTAGAAACAAACTTCCTGGGCTCAGCTCTCATAGCGGAGTGATTTGGAGCAAGTTAACCTCTCCGCATCTCAAGTTCCTCATCTGCAAATAATAATAATAGTAATGCCCACCCACCTCATGGGGTTGTTCTAGTATTAAATAACTTAATATGTCAATTACTTAGAACAGTACTAAGTACATAATAAGCACGCAAAAATACCGCCTATCATTATTATTAAAATGTTAACAAACTTGCACATTAACAAGGCAGTGTTTGAAGTAAGTTCAAAGCTCAAAAAAATGTCATGAAAAACTATGACTTTCTCAGGCAGGAGTGGTGCTGGTGCACCTGTATCCCCAGCTACTAGAGAGGCTGAGGTGGGAGGATCACTTAAGCCCAGGAGGTGGAGGCTGCAGTGAGCCATGGTCATGCCATTGCATTCCAGCCTATGTGACAGAGCAAGACCCTGTCTAAGAAAAAAAAAAGGGGGGGGAATAAAAAGAAACTATGACTTTCTCTTGATCCACAATAGATACCACAAGTGGCATGATGTTAAAAAAGGAAAAAAAAAAAAAAGAAAAGAGAAAGGAAGGTAGAGGAGAAAGGAGAAAGGGAAGAGGAGGAGGAGAGGAAGAGAGACAGAAAATTTCCCAGAAGTAGGAAAGGGATATATCCTCTCCCACAGAGATTTAGAGGCTAGTCAACTTAGAGTTTGGGAGTTCTTCCCACAGTTACAATGCCACTCTTCTTGCGCTAATGAGTAAGATCATTACTCTTTCTGGTAATAGGCAAAGCAAACTATTTCCCACTTCCATCTACCCTGCAGCTTTTCAAATGCATTTCAGCTAGCCCTCTGCAATTAGCAATTGTTTCTCTAGTGGTTTTAAAGCTACTTGATCCTCTTATAGCACTTTATTTCTGTACATTATTCATACATATGTTGAGAAGCTAACATAATAAGGTGTTTGCTCAATTAAGCTTTCACTTAGTGAACTTTACTCATTCTAGTCAACAACTGTGTAGTTTTTTCTCACCCTGAGAGAGCTGAGAAGGCTTCACAGAGGACATGATATTTGAGTTGGGTCTTGAGAGACAAGAGCATGTCCATGAAAGGTAGAATATGCAAGTTCAGGAAGTGTGATAAGTTTTAGGGGATAGCATCTACAATGTTTAATATCATATTTCACTCATAACTGAATAGTATTAATACACAGGTCAACTTTTGCTAGCTGTTGCTACTGTAGATACATTTTCTTCCCCTCTTGCCACTACCTCCCACACAGACATGTACAAATAGATATTCACACACATTCATAAGCATGAGAGCTATGTTTTACGTTCAAATAGAGAAGCAGTGTTTAGTGAGGAAGAGACAAAACGTGAGGAAGAGAAAAGCATGTGAGAATCTAATTATCATTAAACTAGTTTTGTGCCCGTGGTAGAAAGAGGGGAGGATAGCAAACAACTATCTATTCAAGAGTCACCTGTGAGATTTCTGTGAGATGTTTAGTGTCACACTAAGCTCCTACTATAAAGAAAGTCTGATGAAGAAAACAGGCAATGCAGCACCCCGGCATAGGCAGACATTGCTCTTCTCCAAAGGGCCATGTTAGCCTTGAAGCTTCTCCAAGTGGTTTCAGGTGAGCAAGGACTGGACCAGAAGAACAGGTGAGATGCTAAGTGGTGACCACTGCAGGCAAATTAACGTATGTGGTGTGAGCACTTATGAAGCACCACACTGGAAACTCCTAGAAATGGGCCACATGTGATGGCTCATACCTGTAATCCCAGCACTTTGGGAGGCCAAGGCATGCAGATCACTTGAGTTCAAGAGTTCAAGACCAGCCCAGGCAATATGGCAAAACCCTGTCTCCACCAAAAATATAAAAACTAGTCAGGCATGGTGGCGTGCCCCTGTGGTCCCAGCTACTTGGGGGGCTGAAGTGGGATGATGGTATGAGCCCAGGAGGCAGAGGTTACAGTGAGCCGAGATCACAGAACTCCAACCTCGGTGACAGAGTGAAACCGTGTCTCAAAAAAAAGAAATTTCTAGAAATGGACAGGGGTGCACCTTTACAAGTTTTTAAATACAATGGTTAATTAAGAGCTTGTACTAAGAGTAGAAAGAATGTTGGTTCTGCAAGTCTATAGCCTTTATTCAACACATCTGCATGGTCTGTCATGTGCTCAGCACTGGCAGTACAGAGCAAAACAAATATCCCTGTCCTCAAGAAGCTTATATCAGAGCAGATAACAGATATAATAAATAGGTAAATTATAAGATATGCTAGAAGATGGTAAGTATTAGAGTAAAAAATAATAAAGCAGAATAAGGAGAATGAGAAATGCATCTCTCAGAGTGGGAGTTGAAATTTTAAATGAAGTTGCCAAGTGACCTGTGAGCAAAGACTTGAAGGAGGTAAGAAGAGAGCCCTGCCAAGAACGGAGGGAAGAACACATCAGGCAGGGGGAGCAGCCGGGGAAAAGGCTCTGAGGTGGAATGTGGCCAAAAGGCACTGTCTGTGTGTCTCAAGAAAAGCAAGGAGACCAGCATGGCTGGAGAAGAATAAGCTGGCAGGGGGTTGGAGGGTTGCAGCAAGGCGAGGCTACTACTCTTGTTCCCTTGTGCTTACGTTATTGGTATCTGTCAATATTTTTAGTTACTTAAATATTTTATAATGTTTGCTTTAACTAAATGTTGATCCTACACCCTATCTAATCCACTTACCCAGGCATACATAAATAGCAATACTTTGCAATAAGCCAAAAATAAACAAAGAATGAGGATGCCAATGCCACCGTCATTCTCTTCCGCATTGGGGAGCTATCATTCTTCCTTCAGGATCGATCACATTTTATATAAGTCAGGATCTTTCACATATTATGTATGATGACCATCTGACATCACATGGAGTGCAGGTGATGGCATCAATTTATAAACTGATATTAACAACACTTAATTTCTTATTTTTTATTAGAATAAAATATAAATATTAATACAAGTTCAAGTATGTTCCTCCAGCCCCCATTCCTCTCCCCCCAGAGATGTTGTGCACTCCTGAGGAAGATGAACTTCCTCGGGAACATCTGGACTAGAGAAGCCAAGGCTGAGTCTTCAGCTTAGGATGGGATGTGGGTTCTGGGAAACCCCTCTGGGCTCCATCGAGGGAGGGACTTTTCTATGAGTTGCAGAGAATGTGGGCCAAGAAAGTGATCCAAAAGGCACTGTCTGAGGAGGAAATTAATACAAAAGGGGACCATGTGCCCCAAAGAAGCTGTCGGTTCAAAAGAGCAGGACAAACATGGAAAAATCCAGGAAGAGATAATGAAATAGAAACTGAAAATAGGATTCAATTCTTTCTTGTGAGTTTTGAAAAAAAATCTAATCCCTGAAAGGTTCAGAGTTTAAAGGTTTTGCCAGAAACAACAGGTTTTGAGGAATCCTTGCTCAATCAGTGCCAGTTTCTACCCTGCTCCCTCTCATCCCCGCTCCCATTCCCAGATCAGCAGACCAACTTGTGCCTATTTGCTCCAAGTTTTCCCAGTTCTAGCAATGAAAACCTCACATCCTGGGAAATCTCTCAGTCTCAGGAAAACCATGGCAGTTGGTCACCCTACTCCCAGATTAAACAGTCCAAAGTTTTGAAATAGGGGGAGTGTCAGAAGAGAAGCAAAAGAGTTTGATGCTGATTAGGGTTTTGAAGTCTTTACCTAGGAACTGACTGGGACAACTCTGAATTGTCTGAGATTTCTTTCCCCATCATTTAGCATAATGGGACTCAAAATATGAATTAAATTCAATTGTAGAAAAATGCACTTATATTTCCTGCACACGTGAGTCTGTGACCTAAATTTCTCCATCTCTCTCTCTCTCTTAATTATACACACACACACACACACACACACACACAAACACAAACACACACACAGATCTGGAGGGAGTTAGTTGATACTGAGGACAATAACTTTTTACTCCTATGTCTCTGAATTGTTTAAAATTTTAGTACAATGAATTTATTTATCACTTGTGCCATTTAAAAATAAAAGAAAGAAAACATGTTTTTCCTGCAAGTCAGGAGGGCATATACCTATTTTATAGTGGACAGATCACCAAAAGACAAATAGACAGAATGAAACTATGAAAAAGACTCAACTTGAGAGAAGGGGAAAACCCAAGGAAAAGTGATCATTAGAATGTGACATGAACTAGAGAGGTAGAAAAAAGCTGAGTTTTTTCGTTTGTTTGTTTAGGTAAAGTTTCTGTAGGCTGATGGACTAGAAAGAAAACATCAACAACTTTTACAGTAGAGAAAAGCTTGAGTTTTGAAAAGCAGAGAATGAAGTGACTCAAAGACAACCTCCCATGCCCCTGACCCGCCTTGTGCTCAGCAGCCCTGGGGCGGCGCTGGATGCTGGACCAGCCCCTCCCTGAGCAGCCCTTCTCCAGACTTGCCTCCTCAGTCTGTCAGGCCCTTTTCTCTCTGGGCTCTTGCCTTTAGCAGTTTCCTAGCACCCCATGGGTTTAATTAGCAATTTGATGCAGACAGTCCCCAAAGCGCATCTCCAGAGGTGACCCTCTCTCCTGGGTCACATTCTTCATTTCGAATTCCCTGCTAGTATCCTGTCCTAATATGTCAAAAACAGAACCCATAATCCCCCTCATCTTCCTATTTCCATTTGTTGTTAGTGATAGTACTATCACACCCCAGCCATATAATTTTGGGTCAGAATCTCTTTTCTCCTCCTCCTCCCTTTCCCTGTTTTGTGCCATCAGTTGCTCATATCTGTTGAATCTTCCTCGTGTGTATCTTTCAATTCTGCATTTGAGTGGGGCCTGAAATAGTCCCTATAAACTTTCACCTAAACTGCTGCAATAGTAGGTTAGGTTCCTCTCTGAGGACAGCCAGAATTCATTTCACACGCTGCTGGAAATCTCTTGGAAACAAGTTTATCCATGCAACACAAATTTACTGAGCACCTGTTCATATACCAGGCACTGTTCTAGGCCTTGTAGGTGCAGGTGAATCAGAAGTAAATAAGACAAGATCTCAACTCTTCTAGAGCTTACATTCTAGTGAGCTGTGGCGGACGATTAACAAGAGACCAGAGAGGTAAATAAAACTTCAGAAAATAAGTGCCTTGAAAGAACAATAGATGGGTAATTGCATTGGTAGGAGGTGGGTGGTACTGACAGCTTTTGATAGCGTGGTCAAGAAAGGCTTCTCTGAAGAAACAGCCCAGGGCTGAGACCTGACTGAGCTGAGCCTTGCTTCTCAGGGCTAAACATGTCAGGATGAAGAGCCAGAAAGCGAGAAAGGCCTAGGCAGGGGCAGCTCACAGAGGGCCTTGTAGGAGTCTGGATTTTGTCCTTACTGTGAAGGAAACACATTGGAGGGTTTTAAGCAGGGATCAGATCTAAGCCAATTTAATATGTTAAAAGATTACTCCAGCAACTATGTGGAGAATAGCTTGTATGGGGCTGAGGTATGGGAAAGGTGGTAGCAAAGAGAAACTTAGGAGCTATAGAAGTTGTCCAAATGAGAGATGATGGTGACTTGAACCGGGGAGGCACCAAAAATATGTTGAGAGGTGGTTTGGAGTGTTGAGTTAAGAGGAATTGATTGATAGGTTTATTGTGGGGCATGAAGGAAATCATTGATGCTGATATAGTTTAGGTATGTGTCCCCTCTAAATCTCATGTTGAGATGAAATACCCATTGTTGGAGGTGGGGTCATGTGGGAGGTGATTGGATCATGGGGGCAGATCCTTTCTGGCTTGGTGCTGTCCTCGTGATAGTGAGTGAGTTCTCCCGAGCTCTGGTTAAGTGTGTGGCACCTCCCCCTCACTCTCTCTCTCTCTCTCTTGCTCCTGCTCTCACCATGTGACACACTGGCTCCCACTTTCTCTTCCACCGTGAGTAAAAGTTCCCTGAGTCCTCCCCAGAAGCCAAGCAGATGCCGGTGCCATGCTTCCTGTACAGCCTGCAGAAACTTGAGCCAACTAAACATCTTTTCCTTATAAATTACCCAATCTCGGGTATTTCTTTATAGCAACACAAGAACAGCTTAATTCAGATGGTTTCACAGTTTTGGCCTGAGCAACCATGTGACAAAAGTCTATTAACTAAGATTATAAATATTAGTTGACAAATATGTTTGGAGGGCAAGGACAGAGACATGTTAGGTTTGAGATGCCTATTAGACATTTGTTGTAGGATGATATTTTAACTATTTATCTTGCATAATTTCTAGCTTTTTATTTTGAAAAATCCCAAACATACACAAAAAAAGGAAGAACAAAATAATAGACACCCATGTATCCATCATCTGGCTTCAACAATTACCAGTATTTGGCAAATCATGTTTCATTTCTACCCACACATGTACAGTTGCCCTCTCCCCACCCAGCTGGGGTATTTTTGAGTAATTTCCAGACATTATAGCATTTTACTCCCAAATTCTTTTTATCTAATAATTGGACATCCTTTTATAACATATTCACAAAACTATGATCAAACCTAACAAAATTACCACAACTTTCTTCATAGCATCTACTATCCAACACCCATTGTTTAAAATTTTCTAATTGCAGGTATGTAATTAAGAGCTTAGAAATAAACCCTTGAATATACTGTCAAATGATTTTTAACAAAGATGACAAGACCATCCAATGTAGAAAAGACATGGTTTTCAACAGATGGTGCTGGGAAAACATGAAAAAGAATGAAATTGGGCCCTCACCTAAGACTGTATGCAAAAAAAAAAAATTCAAAATAGATAAAAAATCTAACAGCTACACTATAAATATCTTAGAAAAAATCATAGATATGTATCTTCATGACATTAGATTTGGCATTGATTTCTTAGATATGACAGCAAAAGAAAGATCAACTGGAGTTCATCAAAATGTAAACCTTTTGTACATCAAAGGATACTATCAACCAAGTGAAAAGGCAACTCATGAAATGTCATAAAATATTTGTAAATTACATATCTAATAAGGAGTTAATATCCAAAATATATAATGAACTTGCACAACTCAACAACAAAGAAACCCAATTTTAAAATGGGCAAAGGACTTGAAGAGACCTTTTTCCAAAGAAGATGTACAAAAACCAATAAGCACGTTAAATGATGTTCAACATCACTAGTCACCAGGGAAATACAAATAAAAACCACAATTAGATACTAACCAACACCCATTAGGATGGCCATTATAAACAAACAAACAAACAAACGAACAAAAAACCCAGATAATTAGTGTTGGTGAGGATGTGGAGAAATTGAAACCCACATTGCTGGTGGAAATGTAAAATTGTACTGCCACTGTGGAAAACAGTATGGTGATCCCTCCAAAAATTCAAAATAGGCTACTATATGATCCAGCAATTCCCCTTCAGAATATACAGCCAAAAAAATTCAAAGCAGAGACTCAACAGATATTTGTACACCCATATTCATACAGCATTTTTCACAATAGCCAAAAGGTGGAAGCAATCCAAGGGTTCATGGACAGATGAATGAATAAACAAAATGTGGTATATACATACCATAGAATATTACTCAGCTTCTAAAAGGAAGGAAATTCTAACATATGCTACAGCATGGATGAAACTTGAAGACATTAGCTAAGTGAAATAAGTCATTCGCAAAAGGACAAAGAGCTGTTTGATTCCATTCATATGAAGTACTTAACAGTAGTCAAATTCACAAACATAAAAAATAGAATGGCAGTTGCCAGTAGGAGGGGTTAAGAGGAATGGGGAAAGGATAGTGCTTTTTTTTTTTTATGTGTATACAGTTTCAGTTTTGCAAAATAAAAACCGTTCTGGATATTGATTGCACAAAAATGTGAATGAACTTAACACTACTGAACTATATGCTTAAAATGGTTAATATGGCAAACTTATCTTACATATATGTTACCATAAGAAAAAAACATTTCCACTTGCATCATAAATGTCTTTTTACAATTGGGTTGTTTGGATAGGGATTCAAAGAAAGTCCACAGATTGCATTTGGTGTCTTGGTTTCCTAATTCTCTATTAACTGATAACAATTCTTTGTCACCCAACCCCCTGTTTATCTTTTATTGTTGAAAAAACCAAGTTGTTTGGTTCATTAAATTTCCACATTCTGGATTGGCTGATTGCATTCTTATGGTGTCATTTAACATGTTCTATTTCCTATCCTTGGTAGCTAAGTCTAAAGCGTTGATTAGATTCATGTTCCAGTTTTTTGGTAATGATATTTCCTAGGCAACACTGTGTACTTTCTATTGTATCATGACAGGAAGCACTTGCTGTGCCACTCTTTTTCTGATGTTAAGATTGATGTCTGAATGCAGGCAGGCATTGTCAGCCTGATCTATCCATTATAAAGTTCTCCATCAACTTCTCACCCAGCAGTTCTAGCAGCCTTAGAGGGCCATTGATAATCTACCTCCATTATTTTCTTATGGGATCCAAAAAAGAGATTTTTCTAATTCTGTCATTCTCTCAGTACTCATTAGTTGGAATTCTTCTATAAAGATTACTTTTTTCATCAGAACTATTTGATAACTCTAAAGTTTGTTCAAGAAGTCAGGAAAAATGTTTTATTCTTTCCCTTATTAATTGGTTTTCAGAATAATGGGCTGATGCCTAAGCAACTTTTTATTTTTTCTCTCTTTTTTTTTTTTTTTTTTTTTTTTGAGATGGAGTTTCACTCTGGTGCCCAGGCTGGGGTACAGTGGCATGACCTCAGTTCACTGCAACGTCTGCCTCCTGGGCTCAAACAATTCTCATGCCTCAGCCTCCTGAGTAGCTGGGATTATAGGCACCCACCACCACACCCGGCTAATTTTTGTATTTTTAGTAGAGACAGCGTTTCACCATGTTGGCCAAGCTGGTCTTGAACTCCTGACCTCAAGTGATCTGCCCACCTCGGCCTCCCAAAGTGCTGGGATTACAGGCATGAGACACCGTGCCCGGCTGCTTAGCAACTTTCAAAGTTTACCAATTACTCTTCTGCTTGTTTTATTTGTAAACATGGATTTTTTCATATATTTATTTTCAACTCATTGCATTGCATTCTTTTTCTTCTTTTTTTTTTTTTTTGAGACAAAGTCTGACTCTATTGCCCAGGCTGGAGTGCAGTGGTGTGATCAGTGCTCACTGTGCCTCAACCTCCTAGACAGAAGCAATCCTCCCACTTCAGTAGCTGGGGCTACGGGCATATGCCACCATGTTCAACTAATTTTTTAATTTTTTGTAGAGATGGGGTCTCCCTATGTTGCCCAGCCTGGTCTTGAACTCCTGGACTCAAGCAATCCTCCCATATCGGCCTCCCAAACTGTTGGGATTATAGGCCTGAGCCACCATACCCAACCTCAGTATTCTTTTTGATGCTCAATTTGTCCCATCTCTGGCCAGTGGGAGTCTCAAGTTGGATCCTGAGTCCTTTTAATAAAACCTCAGTCATCTTTATTAGCTTATTTGCTTTCTGTTATCACATGATTTTCTGGAATTATCTTGTATATTTCCTGCTTCAGACCTGGAATCAGCAATTTCTGCCAGGAGCCTTAGGAAATGGTAGTTAGAAACCACAATCCAGGAGGCAGGGATATTAATTGCTACTGAAACATCATTGTTTCTAGGCCTTTTCAATATCCACAGTTAGAAAATAAGTTTTGTTGTTGCTTTGTGTATTAGTCCATTTTCATGCAGCTGATAAAGACATACCCGAGACTGGGCAATTTACAGAAAAAAGAGGTTTAATGGACTTACAGTTCCACATGGCTGGGGAGGCCTCACAATCATGGTAGAAGGTGAAAGGGACATCTCACATGGCAGCAGACAAGAGAAGAGAGCTTGTGCAGGGAGCCTCCCATTTTTAAAATCATCAGATCTCGTGAGACTTATTCACTATCACAAGAACAGTATGGGGGAAACTGCCCCCATGATTCAGTTATCTCCCACCAGTTCCCTCCCACAGCATGTAAGAATTATGGGAGCTACAATTCAAGATGAGATTTGGGTGGGGACACAGACCCAAACTATATCACTTTGTGTTTTGTTCTGTTTTGTTTTTGAGACAGAGTCTTGCTCTGTCACCCAGGCTGGAGTACAGTGGTGCAATCTCGGCTCACTGCAACTTCCGCCTCCCAGGTTCAAGCGATTCTCATGCCTCAGCCTCCCAAGTAGCTGGGATTACAGTTGCACACTGCCATGCCCAGCTAATTTTTGTATTTTTAGTAGAGATGGGGTTTCGCCATGTTGGCCAGGCTGGTCTCGAACACCTGGCCTCATGTGATCTGCCTGACTCTGCCTCTCAAAGTACTGGGATTTCGGACATGAGCCACAACACCTGGCCGTTGCTTTGTGTTTTGTTTGTTTGTTTGTTTTTGTTTGTTGTTGTTGTTTTGAGACAGGGTCTCACTGTATCACTCAGGCTGAAGTGCAGTGGCAAGATCCCAGCTTGCTGCAACCTCGACCTCCTGGGCTCAAGTGATCCTCCCGCCTCAGCCTCCCAATTTGCTGGGACTACAAACATGTGCCACCATGCCCAGCTAATTTTTAGCTTTTTGTGGAGATAGAGTCTCATGATGTTGCCCAGGCTGATCTCAAACTCTTGGGCTCAAATGAACTTCTGCCTCAGCTTCCCAAAGCGCAAGGATTGCAGGCATGAGCCACCATGCCTGGCCTGCTTTGTTGTTTTCCTTTTTTTCAGAGAAAAAAATCATGAGTTCTTATCATATTTCCAGAGTATAGTGTTTTAACTTAACTTCTTTAATTTTTATATATGTATCTCTTTATCCTGAAAATCTTGGTTCCCAGTGACATGACATAATTATTTATTTACTCCATCCCATTATATACATATTATGATTTCAAAATAACAATGCCAATATAAAAACTAACAATATGATATCTAAGTACAGTTTAAGATTTATTTCCAGTTGTGTCCTTAGAATATATTTCACTAAGAATGCATTTCCAAAATTCGTTGTGTCTTAAAGTCACATGTGTGCCTAAGACACAAATTCACAAATATAAAATACATTTGTTTTATTTTGGCTCATTTGGTTTCCAGTTCTTAGAGATTGCATTATTTGTTGTTGTTGTCTTTATTTTTATCTAATTTTATTTTAAAATTGGGTAAAAACATTCACATGGTTCCAAGGTCAAACTAAGTACACTTATCAAAGTATGTTTAGAAAAGTCTAGTATCAATTTTTATCCCTGCCACTCAGTTACCTCCCTCCTCACTCTCTACCAAATAACCATTTTCACTAGTTTTTTGTTTATCATTCCATTATTGTATTAATATATGCAAATATAAATATGTATTTATATTTATATTCCTTTATTAGGTAAAAGGTAGCATATTATAGACACTATTCTGCCCTTAAATTTTTCACCTAATGCTATACATAGCAGGATAGCAAGATATGGAGATTTCTTCATTTCTTTTAACCCCTGCATGGTCATCCATTGTGTGAATATACCATATTTTGTTTCAATTCGTCTCTCATGGCTGGACATTTAGGTTGTTTTCCATTTTGCTGTTATAAATGGTGTTATCATGAATTGCTTTGTACATGTCATTCCATATTTTTCCCAGTGAATCTTTGGGAAAGATTCCTGTAAGTGGGAT